>NC_000001.11:203790647-203942162 GCF_000001405.40 Homo sapiens | reverse complement strand
TGCAACTAAACTTTAGGAGACTGCCACTTCCTGAATTTTGATATAGTATCAAAGGAGAATATCCAGAATTATCTGAAAAGAATATTAAAATATTTCTCCCTTTCCCAAGTATATATCCGTGTGAAGCCAGATTTTCTTCATATATTTCAACCAAGACAACATATTATAACAGATTGAATGCAGAAATATATGAGAATTCATCTGTCTTCTGTTAAGCCAGACATAAAATGGATTTACAAAAAAGTATTTTATATCTGACCAAACGAATATGCCTGGGTGAAGACAACAGAAAAGCATTCTCAGATATGCAAGAGCTCAGTAAATAGAATACCTACTGCCCTTTTAAAAGGAATTACTTGAAGACTTACTTCTGCCATTCAAGATATGGATTATATAGCCACACAATGAGAAGTTGGGTGATAAGGGGATTGTTTTGTGATTTATAAATTGTCTCCAAATTACTTGACTGTCATTGAAAAAAGAGAAGGGATGTGAAACAGACAAAATCTAGAAATATATCACCTTAAAATCAAAGTCCTCTGTCTAGAATGCCTATCTCCCTATGTGCTCACCTAAGTCCTATTTAGATTTCAAGACGCATCTCAGATCCCACATAAAATCATAGAATCTTGATACTGCAAAGGATCTGGAGAGAGGGAAATCACTTGTATTATTATGTACCTGGGTGTTTAAAATTCATCCACATTTAATCTGTACAGAAACCTAAATTGTCTTATTATCCCCATTTTCCAGATGAGGAAGTCCAAGTTCAGAGAGATAAAACCTCTTGCCCAATGTCATCCTTCCAGCTAGATGTGGAGTGGGGACAAAAACCCAGATCTTTTCTACTTAGAAGTCCAGGTTCTTTACATTTCACTCTATTACCTCAGAATTCATCTATCTAAATAAGCCCTACCCAATCTGTTGCTCAAGTCTTCATTAAGACAGCTCCACCCATCGTTATCAGTCCAGTCCCCTCCAGGGACAAGGAATTCAACATATTTTAATGCAGTCCATCATATCTATTGACTGCATTTAAAAGTTTCTCTCCATATTTAAGCCGACATATTCCTTCTCAAACCCTTACCTACAAATCCTAAGAATACCCTTTGGGGTTATGCGTAATGAGAAAGTGAAAGGGGCTAATAGCCACTTGTGTATCTGTTCTCTCTTTATGTGTCATTTTTACACAGCGCAAAGGCAGGTGTACCATGAAGCTAATGAAGCTTCAGAGCCTCCAATCACTGGAAGTTGCGGAGTGTTCTAGATGGAGGGGAACAGATTGTGTTTAGGAAGTGTGTCTGGTAAATTGGCTAAAGAGATCTCAGAAGAAAGGGACCTGAAACTTCAAATCTCCAGTAATTTGTTGTGATTTCTTTTCTCATCTTTAGCAAGTATTTACTTTTGTATCAATTTTGTACTGGAAACTTCATACTATTTTCCTTAAAGAGGGCTCCAAAAATTGTATTCAGCCCCAGAAAATCTGGATCCACTCCTGGTTTGACCCATAGCAGTCCTGTTAAATATATTTTCAGTATTGTATTTATGTCTAGGCATTTACATGAGAAAAATGAACCCCTGTCTTTTTTAACCTACTGTGGTTTTTATTTCGATTTGCTATGTTCGTTTTTTGTTTGTTTGTTTGAGATAGGGTCTCACTCTGTTGCCCAGGCTGGAGTGCAGTGGTGCAATCACGGTTCACTATAGTCTTGACCCTCCCAGCTCAAGTGATCCTCCTACCTCAGCCTCCAGAGTAGCTGGGACTACAGGCACATGCCACAATGCCCAGCTAAGTTTTTAATTTTTTGTAGAGACAGGGTCTTTCTATGTTTACACAGGCTGGTCTTGAACTCCTGGCCTCAAGTGATCCTCCCACCTCAGCCTCCCAAGTGCCGAGATTACAGGCATGAGCCACCGTGCCCAGCCAACCCATTGTTATTTTGGATCTCCATCACAGCAGCCAGGCCAATATCATGACACAGAATGCTTAATTTCTACTCTGCCGTGTGCAAACATGACCACCACTCTAATACCACCACCACAGGTAATTATTTCAAGGGGAGGCCTGACCCAGGCCAGGCCAATAATTCCTTGCCCACAATTTTCAAACTGGGACCGCGAAGAGAGTCAGCCTCTCTCTGATTACCTGCACAATCAGCCGGCAATTGTGTCTGTCTATAATTGTGTCTCCTTATTTCCATATGGAGGAAGCCAGGAAGCTTTAATGGTACATGAGGAAAAGAGAAGAAAAGACAAGGGCTATAGAAAGTCTGTCTTTCCAATTGTTCCTTGGGGCCAGCTGCATTTCTGCCCTTCCTATGATTTGGTTCATCAATTCTTCCTTGACCCAAGCTGGTTAAACAGTTTCTGTCTCTTGTAGCCAAGAGGTCTGCCCATTACAAAGAAAAATTTGCAGTGCACTGTCATACAGCATGTATGAACCGAGCCAGGGTAAGGCCCCAGGAAACTCCCACCCTATGCCCTTCCATGTTAACAATTTGCCTATGACTCTATATCTCCTGAGCTCCTAGATCCATATATCCAACTGCCTCACTGATAGGATATCTCAAAGGCACTTCAAAGTTAGTATCATCTTTCCTCAAATCCTCTGCCTCTAGGGCTCCCCATTGCAGTAAACCCAGTACTCACATCCAAGTGCCCAACTCATAAACTTGGATGAGGTCTATGACTTATAAAATCTAACATGAGGCCAGGTGTGGTGGCTCACACTTGTAATCCTAACACTTTGGGAGGCCGAGGTGAGAAGATCACTTGAGCCCAGGAGTTCGAGACTAACCTGGGTAAGATGCCAAGACTCCCTTTTTATAAAATATTTTTAAATGGCCGGGCGCGGTGACTCACGCCTATAAGCCCAGCAATTTGGGAGTCTGAGGCAGGTGGATTGCTTGAGGTCAGGAGTTTGAGACCAGCTTGGCCAACATGGTGAAGCCCCATTCCTACTAAAAATACAAAATATTAGCCTGGCATAGTGGCACACGCCTGTAGTCCTAGCTACTCAGGAGGCTGAAGCAGGAGAATCACTTGAACCCGGGAGGCAGAGGTTGCAGTGAGCCGAGATCACACCACTGCACTCCAGCCTGGGTGACAGAGCAAGACTCCGTCTCAAAAAATAAATAAATAAATTTAAAAATGATCCAGGGTGGTGATGCACACCTGTAGTCCTAGCTACTTGGGAGGCTGAAGTGGGAGGATTGCTTGAGCCCAGGAATTCCAGGTGACAGTGAGCTATGATAGCACCACCGCCCTCCAGCCTGGGCAGCAAAGCAAGACCCTGTCTCTAAAACAAATTAAAAAACCCTAACATGTTCTGTCCCCTGTCTATCCCTCTTGTTTAACCATACTCTTACCTCAATTCTGTATCCTCCAATCACATTGGTTTATTTAAAATTAATAAAGTAACATCTCCCTTTTCCCCAGTGTTCTCCCACTATACCATTTGACGTAGAACTTTCCTATGTGAAACTGTAAATTCTATGCAAAATACTTAAAAGGGAGAGCTACGGAAGCCCCTTGCACCCATGGGCTTCCTCTAACTGACCTAGGTCTTCTAGACACCGCTCTCAGAAATAAGGTCTATCAGACCTTTTACCAGACACAGCTTTCAGAAATAAGGTCATTCCAACCCTCACACATCTCCGAGTTTGAAATAAGTGGGGTAGAAGTAGAAGAAACTATAGAGATCCTAGTTTTGTAGTGATGTGTGTCAAGGGCCATGCTGACTGAATTTTATGTGGGATGGCTTCAACAGGGTCCAATCTGCTTAACAAATAAATGATTGGACCTCTGCTGCCATCCTGGTAAGAAACATTGATCCAGCTTCCTCATCCTGCTCTCTTCCTAATCAAAATCTCACGGGAAGCATCTGATTGGTGAGCTTGCTTTCATGCACGTGCCATAGCTATGCATGAGAGTCTGTCTCAACACAGACTGAGACAGTGAACATCTGGCTTCTGCTGTGGGCAGAAAACAACCTCAAACGGAAAGGTAATAAAAAAAAATGTTTGGCCGCCTTAAAGTATAATTATCCCTTCCCCATGGCTTAACGCAGTCAGCAGGTGACATTCCTCTAACCATGGACATTGCTTCACTATGGTCATCTGACCCAATTCACACCAGTGAGATGTTAGGGAGGCTAGGGTTGTTGTAAAATATTCTTTCTTTCTCTCTTTCTCTCACTTTCTTTCTTTCTCTCTCTTCCTTCCTTCCTTTCTTCCTTTCTTTTTCTTTTCTTTCTTTCTTCTTTCTCTCTCTTCCTTCCTTTCTTCCTTTCCTTTCTTTTTTCTCTCCCTTCCTTCACTTCTTCCTTTTTCTCTCTCTTCCTTCCTTCCTTTCCTTTTTCTTTCCTTCTCTTTCTTTCTTTCTCTTTCTTTCTTCCTTTTTCTTTCTTTCTTTCCTCTCTCTTTTTCTCTTTCTTTCCTTTTCTTTCTCTCTCTCTCTCCTTCCTTCCTTCCCTCCTTCCCTCCCTCCCTCCTTCCTTCCTTCCTCCCCCTCCCCTCCCCTCCCCTTCCCTTCCTTTTTTCTTGAGACGGGGTCTCACTCTGTTGTCCAGGTTGGAGTGCAGTGGCATGGTCTTGGCTCACCACAGCCTCAACCTCTGGGGGCTGAAGCAATCCTCCCACCTCAGTCTCTTGAGTAGCTGGGACTACAGGTTCACGCCACCATGCCCAGCTAATTTTGGGGTATTTTTTGTAAAGACAGGGTTTTGCCATGTAACCCAGGCTGGTTTTTGAACTCCTGAGCTTAAGCAATTTGCCCATCTTGGCTTCCCAAAATGCTGGGATTACAGGCATGAGCCATTGTACACGTCCTCTCATTCTTTTTTTTTTTTTTTTTTTTTTTTTGAGACAGAGTCTGGCTCTGTCATCCAGGCTGGAGTGCAGTGGTGCCATCTTGGTTCACTGCAACCTCCACCTCCTGGCTTCAAGCAATTCTCATGTCTCAGCCTCCTGAGTAGCTGGGATTACAGGTGTGCACCCCCATGCCTGGCTAATTTTTGTATTTTTAGTAGAGATGGGGTTTCACCATGTTGGCCAAGGTGGTCTCGAACTTCCAACCTGAGGTGATCCGCCCACCTCAGCCTTCCAAAGTGCTGGAATTACAGGCGTGAGACATCTTGCCCAGCGGCCCTCTCATTCTTAAGCTCTATTGATTGCCAGCTATCTCTCTTTCTGGACAAAGTGGTTTAGGGATGTGAGGCCAGCAATTTTTTCACCATGGGAAAAGCTGTCCCCCACATAAAGCTCGGACAGCAGATGCAGAGTAAAGATATGGAAAAACAGTAAAAAACAACTCTGGCCGGGCACGGTGGCTCACGCCTGCAATCCCAGCACTTTGGGAGGCTGAGGCAGGCGGATCATGAGGTCAGGAGATCAAGACCATCGTGGCTAACATGGTGAAACCCTGTCTTTACTAAAAATACAAAAGATTAGCTGGGCGTGATGGCACACACCTGTAGTCCCAGCTATTCAGGAGGCTGAGGCAGGAGAATTACTTGAATCCAGGAGGCATAGGTTGCAGTGGGCCGAGATCGTGCCACTGCACTCCAACATGGGTGACAGAGTGAGACCCCGTCTCAAAAAAAAGAAAAACTGAACTACACCAATCTCGGAGTCTGCCCAGGTCTCACTATAATGTAAGCCAGTAAATTTTTATCATTTAAGCCAGGTTGAGGTTTTTGTTTAATCTAAAAAAACCCACATATCTGACAAAGAAGTTGTATCCCAAATATATAAACAACTCTCAAAACTCAATAATAAAATAACACCAACCCAATCAAGAAAATGGGCAAAAAACTTAAAGAGACATTTCACCAGAAAAGATAAACAGACAGCAAGTAAGCACAAGAGAAGATGATTGGCTTCATTAGTCATTAGGAGCAACATGGCGAAACCCCATCTCTACAAAAAAAGAAAAAACTGATATATAAATAACAAGGTAAGGTTAGTGGACGAAGACTTCCTGGAAAGGATAAGCAGAGGTTATAAGGATAAAATCTTGCAAGAATATGAAAGCATTTTGGAAAGTATAACTTAGAAAAGTACAGGTTTCATAATTTGTTTGTATCACCCGTAAGTTCTAGCATAATATTGCAATATGTTGCTGGTATTTGGTAAATGTTTCTTATTCGTTCTTATTATAGGGTTCATAAATAAACTGTTCAATGAGTGGAAAAGCATTCAAGTCAAAGGGGAGTGTCCAGAAAAGATTCCTACAGCCCCAGACCTGAGTCAGGTCCCAAGGACTTTTCCCCTTGTTATGGACAGACTTTAGGGTTGGCCACCTGTTATTTTCTTGATCCAGGATAATTGAGGTCACACTTTTAGCTATGGCATGGTTTGCAGTTTGAGTAGCTGGTATCAATCTTGTGCTTCCTGTTCTACAGAAAGATGTAGGTTCTGATGGGTATGGGGACACAAGATGCCACTTGCCCAGGTGGGCATATTTCCTGCAGCAGCCCCCTCTGCATGACTTCCCCTCCTGCCTGACTGCCAGGCTCAGTGTTCTGCAGAAACCAGCATTGATGACATCTCATTTCTCAGATCTGCAAGGGCCCCCTCAGCTGCAGATTGGTAATGTGACAATTAAACTTCAAGTGCGCAAAGTCTCAGGTATGAGGCACACAGCAGCAATCACCTCCGGTAGTCAGCATCTTGCTAGCTAGCCCACCTGCACCCCAAACATCTGGTGATGCTATGATTTGCAGAAGTGAAAGAAAACTGTTTAATTAACCATCTTCTCTCACCTCTCTGGGGCCATAAAAGCTCTTGACTTTCCCCCATCAAAAGGATCTCTTCCCTTCCCAACAAGCTATACAATAGAATGTAAAGAATTAATTTTATTCTAATAGATCCTATAATACTCTTTCCTTTAGGAAACCTCCTAGCTGAACACTTCACCTGGACAATGAAATTCAACTTTTTTTCCCCAAGTTTTCCTTCATTCTGAACTCTAAAATGTACTTATGTTTTTCAATGAAAACACCCTACTCCTACTTCACCTATTGTTGTTTTGGTTTTCTGTCATTGCAGATTGGGTCTTCATAAGTACACCTATCTTAAATTTTAATATCATAGAAGACAGGCACTGGCTCTGAGCTTATATCGTAGAACCTAGCAATACATAATTTTTACGATAATAAACACATTACATAGCTGAGAAAACAAAGGTGTAGTTAAAAAATATTCACAGCTTTCCAGCTCCCTCCCCCTCTAGAAATTCCCTTCCTGTATCTAAGGAAAAGAAAGGGGATTCCATGAGTCACCAAGAAGTTTGGAAACTGAAAGCCACCCATTCCCTGCCAAAATGTTTTTTGGGGATATATTTTTAAAATGCAATAAGGCAGCCAGACACAGTGGCTCATGGCTGTAATCCCAGCATTCTAGGAGGTCAGGGCCAGAGGATCTCTTTGAGGCCAGGAGTTCAAGACCAGCTTAGGCAACGTAGCAAGACCACATCTCTACTTGAGGGGAAAAAAAATCCAATAAGGTAAAAGATCTACTTTTTATCTCTTTTCCCCTTTTCATATGCTCAGAACTACAGTCCCAAACAAAGGATTCATAAATTAGAAGTCATTTCACATATATTTATATTTATTATTATTTCTTAGTTTAAAAATGTTTTTTACATTCAATGCCAAAACATAGATACTGCATTCTGTAACCCCACCCACTACCCTCACATACCCATAACACTTCCCTCCTCTCCTGGTTTCCTCAGGGCGAACAGGCAATGCCCAAGTCCTCCTGCTTACCTACCATGAACTCTTACTTTGCTCCAGTTCTCCCACTAGGGCTCAGATGCCCTGTTAGTTTCATCCTTCTAGTTGCGGCCAAACCTGGGAGATTCTTTTCCAGAGGCAGGAAGTACTATGAAAGCCTGGGGAAATTTCCCAACCCCACCCACAGAAGCTAAGTCAGGAAAAGCCTGTAGAGGTGATTCATGGGCTTTAAGTTCATGCATCCTAAACAAAGGTGGCCACCCAGAGCTGTCTTCTAGTCAACTCGACCACAAACCATGGAATGGCTCCTATGCCAGGAGAGACCAAGGCTGGTGGCAAGGGGAAATTTTCTAACCAATCAGCTTTCCCCCTAGGCTGTGAAGAAAAGTCCCTGAGGGGGAGGCTGTGGGACCAAGTAGGGGAAAATGAAAAGCAACACCTGGGTTAGCCAGGTGTAGAAAGAACAAGCATCCCTGGGCTGACCCGGGAGGCTCTCTCTTCAACAATGGGTGCATAAATTAGAACCTGAACTTCGGTGGCAATCAATTTACACCAGTGTAACAAATCCAGAGCTCAGATGATGTTTAAAGTGACGGGGATGGCCAGGCTTGCTGGTTCACACCTGTAATCCCAGCACTTTGGGAGGACGAGGCAGGTGGATCACGAGGTCAGGGGATCGAGACCATCCTGGCCAACATGGTAAAACCCCATCTCTACAAAATACATAAATAAATAAATAAATACACACACACACACACACACACACACACAAATATTAGCTGGGCGTGGTGGCATATGCCTGTAATCTCAGCTACTCGGGAGGGTGAGGCAGGAGAATTGCTTGAACCTGGGAGTCAGAGGCTGCAGTGAGCCAAGATCATGCCACTGCACTCTAGCCTGGTGACAGAGCAAGACTCCGTCTCGAAAGAAAGAAGAAAGAAAGAAAGAAAGAGAGAGGGAGGGAGGGAGGGAAGGAAGGAAGGGATGGGGACTGAAAAGGCTGCCAGCTTGGTTCTATCATTAAGGCTGTTAGCATTCTTTTTTCTTGTTGTTGCTCAATATAATCCATAGCCTCACAAGTTATAACATTCTTGACGCAAGGAACAATGAATCTCTGGCCTCCATATATTCTGTGACAGCAGAAATTTCCCAGGCAGTACAGATGTAGGACCCAAATAGGTTTCAAATCCATTTTTTTTTTTTTTTTTTTGAGACAGGGTCTTACTCTGTCACCCAGGCTGGAATGTAGTGGCGTGATCTCAGCTCACTGCAGCCTTCACCTCCCAGGCTCAAGCAATCCTCCCACCCCAGCCTCCTAAAGTAGCTGGGACTACGGTGCTCGCCACCGCGCCTGGCTAATTTTTCAATTTTTTGTAGAGATGGGGTTTCATCATGTTGCCCAAGTTGGTCTCAAACTCCTGGGTTCAAGTGATTCTCCCACCTTGGCCTCCCAAAGTGCTGGGATTACAGGCATGAGCCACTGCACTCAGCCCCAAAAAACTTTGTCAACCACTGCTCAGTAATGCCTGACTTTGGTACAGCCCTTTGATTTCAAGTACATTTGGTTCCTCCAGCAATCATCAAAGGTTGTTAGCCTCGCTTCCTCTGCAATGATTAGGAAGGATAAGTAGTACAGAGATAGGGCCCTGGGTGCCTTGAAAGCAAGCCTCCCTTTTATAAGAATCCCAGCCTAGCAGGGCTGTGGTAAGAGAAGTGGGCAAAGCAAAAGGAAGTTTTTTACTGATACTCAGTGCTATTGAGTGATAATGCAACCGTTCATCTTCCTGTTGAAGAGTTCGACATGCTTTCACAGTTATGAATGAAACTCTCTCAGATTGTTTTTTAAAAATTCCTTCAAGATCTCTAGCTCTTAAAAGAGTAGCAGTAACTTCCTCCATCTGCAGTCTAACACAATTCCATGGTGACTGCTCTAACATAGTGTGGTGCATATTCCTCGCTTCTGTGGCTGCCCTTCATCTGAACCCACTCCTTAAATTTGGAGAATCCCCTATCATTTGAGCTTTCGTAAAAATCAGGGGCAATGTCCCACTATAGAAGTAGAAGGATCTGATACTTACTGCCCCAGCACCTCTTGCAGCAAGGGAGAAGGCATGTGACCTTGGCTTGGTCAAGTGGACATGTCCACCCAAGGTGTTGACTGAGGAAATAGTAATGCAAAGAAAGAAGCCAGGAAACACTTTATTCCAACAACAGTAACATCCAGTTTTCATGCCAGGGGTGGCATCCGGTGTCTGGTGCCTGCAGCAAGAAAGGCTTTGTCAGACTGGTTCTATGGTGTGACCTTGGCAGTGGCTGTGTCTCACTCTTTCCCTCCCCTTTATGTCCATTTGTGGAGCTTGAGTCTCCAGGTAATCCTGCGAACTATCCAACTCCTTTTGATTGCTTCAGGCACAAACTTGGGAGACATCTTTGAGTTTCCTCTGTAACCTTATATCTAATCCAATAGGAAATTCCGGAAGTGGCCCATTTCCTCTGCTAGTACTCCCTGGCCTAAACCACCATTATCTCTCACCTGAATTACTGAAATAGACTCCTTTAAAAAAAATTAGATCAAACATTTTTTATTGCCAAAAATTTTATGTATTTATTACGTACAACATAATGTTTTGAAATATGTGTACACTGTGGAATGGCTAAATCAAGCTAAATATCATATGCTTAACCTCACGTTTCTTTTTTTATAGTGAGAAGGCTTAAAATCTACTGTTTTTGTGATTTTGAAGAATACAACAGATTGTTTTTGTGTGTGTGAATGTGTTTTTTGAGATGGAGTTTCACTCTTGTTGTCCCAGGCTTGAGTGCAATGGCGCAATCTTGGCTCACTGCAACCTCTGCATACTGGGTTCAAGTGATTCTCCTGCCTCAGCCTCCTGAGTAGCTGGGATTACAGGCACCCGCCACCATGCCCAGCTAATTTTTGTATTTTTAGCAGAGACAGGGTTTCACCACATTGGCCAGGCTGGTCTTGAACTCCTGACCTCGGGTGATCCATCCGCGTCAGCCACCCAAGTGCTGGGATTACAGGCGTGAGCCACCGCGCGTTGCCCAACACATTGTTATTAATTCTAGTCACCATGTTTTACAACAAATCTCTTGAACATATTCCTTCTAACTGAAAATTTGTATCCTGTGACCAATATCTCCACCGCCAACACCCAGACTCTGGTAATCACCATACTACTTTCTGCTTCTATGAGTTCACTTTTTTAGATTCCACATATAAGTGAGATCATACACAATTTTTTTTTTTTTTTGAGATGGAGTCTTGCTCTGTCACCCATGCTACAGTGCAATGGCGCGATCTCGGCTCACTGCAACCTCTGCCTCCCGGGTTCAAGCGGTTCTCCTGCCTCAGCCTCCTGAGTAGCTGGGATTACAGGCTTGCACAACCATGCCCGGCTAACTTTTGTATTTTCAGTAGAGACAGGGTTTCACCATGTTGGTCAGGCTGGTCTTGAACTCTTGACCTCAAGCAATTCGCCTGCCTCGACCTCCCAAAGTGCTGGGTTACAGGAGTGAGCCACTGCTCCTGGCCACTATTTGTCTTTTTGTGTGTAGCTTATTTCACTTAACATAATGTCCTCCAGCCCTTTGATTTCAAGTACATTTGATTCCTTCAGCAATCAAAGCAAATAATGGATGTTTTCCAGGTTCATCCATGTTGTTGCAAATGACAGAATTTCCTTCTTTTTAAAGGCTGAATAGTATTCCATTGTGTATACGCACCATATTTTATTTATTCATCCATTAATGGACATTCAGGTTGATTCCATATCTTTGCTATTGTGAGTAATGATGCAATGAACATGGAGCGCAGATATCTCTTCAACACACTAATGTTATTTTCTTTGGATATATGCCCAGTAGTGAGATTGCTGGATCATATGGTAATTCTAGCTTTAATTTTTTTGAGGAACCTCCACACTGTTTTCCACAATGGCTATACTAATTTACATACTCCCCAAGATTGTGCAATGGTTTCCTTTTCTTCACATCCTACTAACACTTATCATTTCGCTTTTTGATTAACAGCCATTCTAAGAGGTGTGAGGTGATAGCTGCTTGTGGTTTTAATTTGCTTTTCTCTGATGATTAGTGACATTACGTTTTCATATACCCCTTGGCCATCATACACCTGTTGGCCATTTGCATGTCTTTGTTTGAGAAATGGCTATGTGGGTCCCTTGCCCATTTTTTAATTGGGTTATTTTCTTGCTATTGGATTGTTTGGATTCCTTATGTGTTTCGGATACTAACCCCTTATTAGATGTATGGTTTGCAAATATTTTCTCCCATTCCACAAGTTGTCTCTTCACTCTGTTGATTGTTTCCTTGGCTGTGCAGGAGCTTTCCAGTTTGTTACAATCCCATTTGTCTGTTTTCACTTTTGTTGCCCGTGCAACAGCCTCAACTGGTTTCTCTGCTTTCACTTTGTTCCCATACAGACCTGTCTCCACACCGTAGTCTGTTATCTTTTACAATCATAACTGAGATCATGTCACTCCTCTGCTCAAAGTCACCCCACAGCTTCTCATTACTCAAAATAAAATGCAAAATGCTTGTCAAGATCTATGTGATTGGTCTCTTGCTTGCTACCTTTCTAATCTCATCTCCTCTCACTCCCTTACTTGCTCACTCCTCCCAGCTGCACCAGTCTCTCTTCAATTCCTCAAAATGCCAAGCACACTCCTGATGCTGGACTCTTGGTCTTGCTATTCCCTCTGCCTAGAATGCTCTTCTCCAAGATACCTATATGACTTGCTTCCTCACTTCAGTCAGGTCTCTACTTAAATGCTACTTTACCAGATAGGCTTCCTTGACCACCCTATCTAAAATTGCACCCCTGGCCGGGCACGGTGGCTCACACCTGTAATCCCAGCACTTTGGGAGGCCGAGGCAGGTGGATCACGAGGTCAGGAGATCGAGACCAGCCTGGCTAACATGGTGAAATCCCATCTCTACTAAAAATACAAAAATTAGCGAGGCGTGGTGGCGGGCACCTGTAATCCCAGCTACTCGGGAGGCTGAGGCAGGAGAATCACTTGAACCCAGGAGGCAGAGGTTGCAGTGAGCTGAGATGGTGCCATTGCACTCCAGCCTGAGTAAATAAATAAATAAAAATAAAATAAATAAATAAAATAAAATTGCACTCCTCTCTCCTGCCAGTTCACCTCTATTTTTCTTTGCTAACATCTGAACCATTCCTCCTTATTTTTTTTCTTCAACTGCATATGTGTATGCATTTGTTTGTCTGTCTCCACCACTAGGATGTAAGCTCCCTGAGAGTAGGGACTTTGTCCATTTGCTTTCTGCCATATCCCCAGTGCCTAAAAGAGTACATAGTACCTAGTGAGCACTCTGTAAATATACATTAGGTAGATGTATTCACCAAATAAATTTCATTTCTGTTTAAATCTGCCATAGTTGATTTCTGTTTCTTGCAACTTAACATGCTAAGAACCTTATCTGAGAGACATGTAAGACACTGGGAATCAAATTTTTCTCTCATTTAGTGACTTTGGGCAAAGTCACTTAGCACTCTGGGTCTCAGTTTCTTTATATATTGCCCCTCTTTGCTATAAGATAATTTTACAATTTTTTACAATGCCATATGTCTTTTTTTTTTTTTTTTTTGAGACAGAGTCTCACTCTGTCACCCAGGCTCGAGTGCAGTGGCATGATTTCAGCTCACTGCAAACTTCCCCTCCCAGATTCAAGCAATTCTCCTGCCTCAGCCTCCCAAATAGCTGGGACTACAGGCATGCACCACCACGCCCAGCTAATTTTTGTATTTTTACTAGAGATGGGGTTTCACCATGTTGGCCAGGTGGGTCTCAAACTCCTGACCTCAAGTGATCCTCCCACCTTGGCCTTCCAAAGTGCTAGGATTATAGGTGTGAGCCACTGCACCTGGCCAAAATGTCATATTTCAAAGCCACAATAGAATAATGGTTTTTCCAAAGTATATACAGTCATATAATGACATTTTGGTAATGACAGACCCCATGTACCATGGTGGTTCCATAAGATTAGAACGGAGCTGAAAAATCCCTATCACCTAGTGACATGGTGGCCCTCATCACATTGTAGCCGTTGTCATAGCACAATGCATTACTCTTATGTCTGTGGTAACGCTGGGCTAAACCAATCTATTGTGCTGCCAGTCATAGCACATACAATTATGTACAGTACATAATATGTTTTATTTTGTCTTATTATTTTCAAATATTTAGGGGTGCATGTACAGTTGTTTTACATAGATATATTGTATAGCGGGGAAATCTGGGCTTTTAGTGTACCCATCCCACAAACAGTATACATTGTGCACAATAGGTAGGATTTTATCCCTCACCCCCCTCCCATTTTCTACCTTATGGAGTCTCCAATATCTGTTATTCCGCTGTCTATATCTCTATGTAGCCATTGTTTAGCTCTCACCTATAAGTGAGAATACGTAATACTGATAATAAAAAAAACTTGATATTGATAAATAAGTATGTTACTGGTTTATGTACATACTATACTATACTTTTTATTGTTATTTTAGAATGTACCCCTTCTATTTATATATTTAAAAAGTTAACTGTAAAACAGTCTCAGGCAGGTCCTTCAGGAGGAATTCCAGAAGGAGGCATTGGTATCATTGGAGGTGACAGCTCCAGGCATATTGTGGCAACTGGAGACCTTCCAGGAGGACAAGATGTGGAAGGGAAGACAGTGATACAAATGACCCCGATCCTGTGTAGGCCTAGGCCAATATGTGTGCTTCTGTCTTCATTGTTAACAAAAATGTTTAAAAAGAAAACATTTAAATAGAAAAAAGCATATAGAATAAAGATATAAAGAAGAAATTTTTCGTGTAGGTGTATAATATGTTTGTGTTTTAAGTAAAGTGTTAATATGAAAGAGTCAAAAAGTAAAAAAAAAAAAAAAAGAAAAGGAAATTTTCAGGCTGGGTGTGGTGGTTCATGCCTATAATCCCAGCACTTTGGGAGGCCAAGGCAGGCAGATCGCTTGAGCTTAGGAGTTCAAGACCAGCCTGGGCAACATGGTGAAACCCTGTCTCTACAAAAAAATACAAAAATTAGCTGGGCATGGTGGTGCATGCCTATAGTCCCAGCTACTAGGAAGGCTGAGGTGGGAGGATCACATGAAACTGGGAGGCTACAGTGACCTGAGATAGCGCCACTGCACTCCAGCCTGGGGGACAAAGTGGAACCCTGTGTCAGAAAAATAATAATAATAATAATTTTATAAAGTAAAAAAGTTATAGTAGGTTAAGGTTAATTTATTATTGAAGAAAGAAAAATTTTAAATACATTTAGTGTAGACTAAGTGTGCAGTGTTTATTTTTATTTATTTATTTTTTTGAGACAGAGTCTCCCTCTGTCACTCTCTCTGTCTGGCTAGAGTGCAGTGGCATGATCTCGGCTCACTGTAGCCTCCACCGACCGAGTTCAAGCGATTCTCATGCCTCAGCCTTCCAAGTAGCTGGGACTACAGGTATGAGCCACCACACCCGGCTAAGTTTTGTATTTTTAGTAGCGATAAGGTCTCACCATGTTGGCCAGGCTGGTCTCGAACTCCTGACCTCAGGTGATCCACCTGCCTCAGCCTCCCAAAGTGCTGGGATTACAGGCGTGAGCCACCATGCCCAGCCTAGTGTGCAGTGTTTACAAAGTCTACAGCAGTGTACAGTAATGTCCTAGGCCTTCACATTCACTCACCACTCACTCACTCACTGACTCACCCAGAGCAACTTCCAATCCTGCAAGCTCCATTCTTGGTAAGTGCCCTATACGATTTTTAATCTTTTATACTATGTTTTTACTGTACTTTCCTATGTTTAGATACATTTAAATACACAAATACATACCATCCTATTACAACTGCCTACAGTATTCTGTAGGTTTGTATCTTAGGAGCAATAAACTATATCACACAGCCTAGATGTGTAGTAGGCCATGCCATCTAGGTTTATGCCAGTATATTCTATGATGTTCATACAACAACAAAATCATCTAACAATGCACTTCTCAGAAAGTATCCCCATCATTAAGCAATACATGGCTGCACTTCATTCTTTAGCTTCTATAGTTGGCTTTTATCGTATCTCTTCTTAGAAATGAGTCACCTTGCTCAAAGTTTCATCATTCTCAGATAATTCTTTTTTTTTTTTTGAGACGGAGTCTCGCACTGTCACCTAAGCTGGAGTGCAGTGGTGCAATCTCGACTCACTGCAACCTCTGCCTCCCGAATTCAAACAATTCTCCTGTCTCAGCCTCCTGGGTAGCTGGGATTACAGATGCCCACCATCACCCTGACTAATTTTTTTGTATTTAGCAGAGACGGAATTTCACCATGTTAGTCAGGCTGGTCTTGAACTCCTGCCCTCAGATGATCCAATCCCCCTTGGCCTCCCAAAGTGCTGGGATTACAGGCATGGGCCACTGTGCCTGGCCTCTCAGATAACTCATATATATTGTCAATGCCATATGTCATTAATGTTGCCTGTATCATCACCATAATTATCATTAATAAAAGTAACAAGCTAAAAGGTAGTACACAGGATTTAGGCTAAATAAATGCTAGAGAAGTTCAGAAGGGAGAGTTCATCATGAACAGGGCTGAAAACTGAAAAGGACTTCAGCTAGGTTTCAATGAAAGATAGAATTAAGATGAGTAGTGAGGAAAGGTGGTATACACTTTACACACGTAAAAACAGAACACTACATCTATATGGTGGGGAGGTGAAATAACCAGAAATAAGAAAAGTTCAGTTTAGTAGGGATAATAACAAATTATCTACTAGCACTTCTCTTGCTTCCTAGGAAAAGATATAGATCCCATAGCTTGAAGCTTTCTCTCAGGCCTTTCTCCAAATCGTACCCATGTCTATATGCTCAACTCATCTTGTTTCCTCCATTTTCTTGCACCTGAAGACCTTATAAACATTTTTCTTTTCTTTTTCTTTTTCTTTGTTTTTGAGACAGAATCTTGCTCTGTCACCCAGGTGGAGTGCAGTGGCACGATCTTGGCTCACTGCAAGCTCCACCTCCCGGGTTCACGCCATTCTCCTGCCTCAGCCTCCTGAGTAGCTGGGACTACAGGCGCCCACCACCATGCCTGGCTAATTTTTTGTATTTTTAGTAGAGACAGGGTTTCACCGTGTTAGCCAGGATGGTCTCGATCTCCTGACCTCGTGATCTGCCTGCCTCGGCCTCCCAAAGTGCTGGGATTACAGGCGTGAGCCACCACGCCTGGCTTTTTTTTTTTTTTTTTTTTTTTTTTTGTAACAGGGTTTCACTGCTCACTACAGCCTCTCCCTCCTGGGCTCAATCTCCCACCTCAGCCTTTCAAGTAGCTGGGACTACAGGCACATGCCACCACACCCGGCTAATTTTTTGTACTTTTTTTTTTGAGACAGAGTCTTGCTCTGTTGCCCAGGCTGGAGTGCAATGGCACAATCTCAGCTCAGTGCAACCTCTGTCTCCCAGGTTCAAGTGATTCTCCTATCTCAGCCTCCCAAGTAGCTGGGATTACAAGCACCCGCCACCACACCCGGCTAATTTTTGAATTTTTAGTAGACATGGGGTTTCACCATTTTGGTCAGGCTGGTCTCGAACTCCTGACCTCAAGCAATCCACCCGCCTCGGCCTCTCAAAGTGCTGGGATTACAGGCGTGAGCCACCACACCCGGCCTGTACTTTCTGTAGAGACGGGGCCTTGCCATGTTACCCTGGCTCGTCTCAAACTCCTAGGCTCAAACAATCTTCCCACCTCAGCCTCCCAAATTGCTGGAATTACAGACGTGAGACATCATGCCTGACCATAAATATTTTTTTAAAGTTTCTAAAAATTAGCCATGCATAGTGGTGTGCACCTGTAGTCCCAGCTACTCAGGAGGCTCAGATGGGAGGACTGATTGAGTCCAGGATGTGGAGGCTGCAGTGAGCCATGATTGCACCACTACACTCCAGCCTAGGTGACAGAGCGACACCATGCCTCAAAAAAAAAAAAAAGTTTGTGTCACTCATTGGCTCCTATAAAACTCCAGGCCTTTTTTCTCATGAACTGCTACCAAACCAAGTCTTTCCCTTCCTATGCTTATTATATATTTAATATATATGTTGGGTTTTCCAATGCCCCTGTACTTTTTTTTTTTCAGCCAAACATATAGCCTATTTAATTAGGATTTGGAATGCTAACTCTCTAGGTCAATGTAATAGGTTATAATTACCACAGGTTATGTCACTTGAAAATGTTATAAGTAAGCCGGGTGTGATGGCTCATGCCTGTAATCCCAGCACTTTGGGAGGCCGAGGTGGGTGGATCACCTGAGGTCAGGAGTTCAAGACCAGCCTGGACAACATGGTGAAACCCCATCTCAATTAAAAATACAAAAAATTAGTTGGGCGTGGTGGCAGGTGCCTGTAATCCCAGCTTCTCAGGAGGCTGAGGCAGAGGAATTGCTTGAACCCAGGAGGCAGAGGTTGCCGTGAATTGAGATCACGCCATTGCATTCCAGGCTGGGCGACAGAGTGAGACTCCATCTCAAAAAAAAAAAAAGAAAAAGAAAATGTTATAAGTATTTCTCCCTGTGACACAATTTTACCCATGTAACAAACCTTCACATGTACCCCTGAAACCTAAAATAAAAATTTCAAAAAAGAAAATGTTGTATTTTTCATAGGTCTTTATCCAAGATGTTAAAGAAAATGTTGAATGAGGTAAGGCCTGGCCTTTAGAGATCTCTCACCAAATTAAGATGGATTTTGTCAGTACTATATTTTGCCCAACTGTTTTGCAAGGAAGAGAGTATAATTTAGTGAATGGACCAATGGGGTGAATATATTCCTATAAACATGATTCTGACACAAACTTTGCCAGTGACTTTGGGCAAGTCAATTAACTTCTCTTGAACTCATTTTGAAAATGGGAGGGCTACACTAAACTTACTTCCTCTTCCAAAAGCCAGGGATTCTATTATCCGGTCCATATTTTCCCATAAAAAGAGACAATATTGTACTATCCCTTTATCTATTATCTCTCTCAAACACAGGGCAATAGTATTTCTCTTTGGCCTAATTAATAGTATTTTAGCAAAGGTGAGTCTTGTAATATTTTCAAGATAGATAGTCTAATTTCAATTCATTTTACAAACATTTGTTAAGTGCATACTGTGCCAGACATTACAGTAAGGGGCTTCTAAAATAAATCAGCAATAAAAAGTAAAGCTAATTACCAAATAAGCCCTACGTTCCTAATTTTGCCTACTGCTCGTTGATTTTGCTTGTGTGCAGTAGTATGGAAGTATGTCTCAGACTCCTCTCTGTTGATACTGAACTTTGTAGTTTCCACAGCATCAGTCTTCGTGCATTTTATTGCAAGAAGTATGTCTTATCCCTGAATTCTCAGAGATATTCTCTCACTCCCTCAGAGCCTATATGCAATTAATCATATTCTCATTCTATTTTTCAGATGTTTCCTCTGGAACCTTTAGGGAAATGGCAATTACATCAGTTAGGATCTGATCAGGAAAGCAGACCACTATGAGTAACATAGAATTTACTATAGGGATTTATTATAGGGATTAGATCTCATGCAATCATGGGAGCTGGTTAAGCAGTCTATGCACATTTATTGCTTCTGCATCTGCTGCTGGTCCTGAAGTGAGCAAGGTCATTTATTGAAAAGGGAAGATGTGGGAGAGACAACAGACAAAGTAGAATCCATGAGGACAAACTGGAACTGTACGGGTCTTTCTCTCACTCCCTCTACTCTAGGTAATGGGATTTATCTCCAGGATAAGCTGGTATTCCTCAACATAGAGCTGTACATGCACTTGGTATAGGATTTCAACAAGATGAAAGAGGAGATCCAGTGGGAAATGGATCCTGCCCTAAAACCAGCAAAATGAGCCAGTAGATAACCGACAACACGTGAGCTACATAACTGCGCCTGCCCTATGCTGACTTTCAGAGCATAAAACTGGCTACTACTTCATTTCCACCTTCAAAATCTTATGCAATTTTCTCTTGTGGATAATTCCAAGAAATATATAGGAAAGAAAATTATGGGAAATATAGTTACAGCTTAGCTATATTGACACAATACAAAGCCAGCATAAGAATCAATACATGCAGGCCAGGCTAGGTGGCTCACTCCTGTAATTCACAGACCGGGCGCGATGGCTCACGCCTGTAATCCCAGCACTTTGGGAGGCCGAGGGGGGCAGATCACCTGAGGTCAGGAGTTTGAGACCAGCCTGACCAACATGGAGAAACCCCATCTCTACTAAAAATACAAAATTAGCTGGGCGTGGTGGCGGGCGCCTGTAATCCCAGCTACTTGGGAGGCTGAGGCAGGAGAGTCACTTGAACCCGAGAGGCAGAGGTTGCAGTGAGCTGAGATCATACCATTGCACTCCAGCCTGAGCAATAAGAGTGAAACTCTGTCTCAAAAAAATATATATATATAGAATCAATACACAACTGGACAACGCCAGGTCAAATTTCTCTTCCCTAATTCTTCAGAATCTTTTTTCTTTTGGGTATTCATCCCTGAGCTCCCTGCTACTATACTTGCTGCTATTATCAGGCTAGGAAAAAGCTACTGAAAAAGCATCTTCAAAAATCCTTATAGAGAATATTCTAAAATTTTAAGACATACAGAAGATAAAACTAAGTAAAATTTTAAAAATATACTATGTTCATGTGTGAAAACTCTTAATATTAAAAGTTAATTTGAAAAAGTAAGTCAGGTCTGGGCACAGTGGCTCACATGTGTAATCCCAGCACTTTGGGAGGCCGAGGCAGGCAGATCACTTGAGGCTAGGAGCTTGAGACCAGCCTGACCAACATGGCAAAACCTTATCTCTAAAAGACTACAAAAATTAGCTGGGTGTGGTGTTATGCAACTGTAATCTCAGCTACTCAGGAGGCTGAGGCATGAGAATCATTTGAACTTGGGAGGCAGAGGTTGCAATGAGCTGAGATCGTGTCACTGCACTCCAGCCTGGGTGACAGAGTGAGAGTCCGTCTCAAAAAAAAAAGAAAAAAAAAAAAGTAAGTCAGGCCCAAATCAATCTAAGAATCCAGTGAAATTACAATAAAAATTCCAGTAAGTTTGTTTTGCAGAACCTAAAAGATTCAACTGAAAGATCAAATTACCAAGATTAGCCTGGACAATTTTAAAGAGGAACCACAAGGTAGAGGGACTTATTCTACCAGATATCAAGATGTCTTACAAAGACAAGTGTTTTTTGTTGCTGTTTTTTGTTGTTGTTTTTTTTTTTTTTTTTTTTTTTTTTTTTGAGACAGGGTCTCACTCTGTCTCCCAGGTTGATGTGATCACAGCTTACTGCAGCCTCAACCTCCCGGGCTCAAGTGATCCTCCCACCTCAGCCTCCTGAGCAGCTGGGACTACAGGCACACACCATCATGCTTGGCTACTTTTTTTTTTTTTTGTATTTTTTGTAGAAACGGGGTTTTGTCATGTTGCCCAGGCTGGTCTCAAACCCTGAGCTCAAGTGATCCACCCACCTTGGCCTTCCAAAGTGCTGGGATTACAGGCGTGAGCCACTGCACATGGCTAAGACATAATATTTAACATCCTGGTAATGGTTTAAGAATTGTCAAACCTGATCCCAAAAAGTACCTCAAGGTAGAGGCTGACTTCATTTATCAGAGGATTCAAATGGCAAAATCAAGCTTTACTAGATCACTGGATTACTGGAAGAAGTGAGCAATGCGAATCTGCAATATAGTTTCACTAAACTTTAATAGGACAGCAAGACTGTAGATATTTTAGCCCTCTCAAAATATGAATCTTCTGATCCTTTCATCTAGAATCTCTATGTGTGCCATAAAGTCCTAACTCTGCTTGTGCCTATACTTTCTGTTCATGCAGAGATTAAAAGACAAACAGGTGAGCTCCTAACCGCGAGTGATCTGCCAGCCTCGGCCTCCCGAGGTGCCGGGATTGCAGACGGAGTCTCCTTCACTCAGTGCTCAATGGTGCCCAGGCTGGAGTGCAGTGGCCTGATCTCGGCTCGCTACAACATCCACCTCCCAGCAGCCTGCCTTGGCCTCCCAAAGTGCCAAGATTGCAGCCTCTGCCCGGCCGCCACCCCGTCTGGGAAGTGAGGAGCGTCTCTGCCTGGCCGCCCATCGTCTGGGATGTGAGGAGCCCCTCTGCCTGGCTGCCCAGTCTGGAAAGTGAGGAGCGTCTCTGCCCGACCGCCATCCCATCTAGGAGGTGCGGAGCCTCTCTGCCCGGCCGCCCATCGTCTGAGATGTGGGGAGCGCCTCTGCCCTGTCGCCCCGTCCAGGATGTGAGGAGCGTCTCTCCCTGGCCGCCCCGTCTGAGAAGTGAGGAGCCCCTCCGCCCAGCAGCCGCCCCGTCTGAGAAGTGAGGAGCCCCTCCGCCCGGCAGCCACCCTGTCTGGGAAGTGAGGAGGGTCTCCGCCCGGCAGCCACCCCGTCCGGGAGGGAGATGGGGGGGTCAGCCCCCCGCCTGGCCAGCCGCCCCGTCCGGGAGGGAGGTGGGGGGATCAGCCCCCAGCCCGGCCAGCCACTCGGGAGGTGAGGGGCGCCTCTGCCCGGCCGCCCCTACTGGGAAGTGAGGAGCCCCTCTGCCCGGCCAGCCGCCCCGTCCGTGAGGGAGGTGGGGGGATCAGCCCCCCGCCCGGCCAGCCGCCCCGTCCGGGAGGGAGGTGGGGGGGACAGCCTCCCACCCGGCCAGCCGCCCCGTCCGGGAGATGAGGGGCGCCTCTGCCTGGCCGCCCCTACTGGGAAGTGAGGAGCCCCTCTGCCCGGCCAGCCGCCCCATCCGTGAGGGAGGTGGGGGGATCAGCCCCCCGCCCGGCCAGCCGCCCCATCCGGGAGGGAGGTGGGGGGGTCAGCCCCCCGCCCGGCCAGCCGCCCCATCCGGGAGGGAGGTGGGGGGGTCAGCCCCCCGCCTGGCCAGCCGCCCCATCCGGGAGGTGAGGGGCGCCTCTGCCCGGCCACCCCTACTGGGAAGTGAGGAGCCCCTCTGCCCGGCCAGCTGCCCCGTCCGGGAGGGAGGTGGGGGGGGTCAGCCCCCTGCCTGGCCAGCCGCCCCATCGGGGAGGTGAGGGGCGCCTCTGCCCGGCCGCCCCTACTGGGAAGTGAGGAGCCCCTCTGCCCGGCCAGCTGCCCCGTCCGTGAGGGAGGTGGGGGGGTCAGCCCCCCGCCCGGCCAGCCACCCCGTCCGGGAGATGAGGGGCACCTCTGCCCGGCCGCCCCTACTGGGAAGTGAGGAGCCCCTCTGCCCGGCCACCACCCCGTCTGGGAGGTGTACCCAACAGCTCATTGAGAACGGGCCATGATGACAATGGCGGTTTTGTGGAATAGAAAGGTGGGAAAGGTGGGGAAAAGATTGAGAAATCGGATGGTTGCCATGTCTGTGTAGAAAGAGGTAGACATGGGAGACTTTTCATTTTGTTCTGTACTAAGAAAAATTCTTCTGCCTTGGGATCCTGTTGATCTGTGACCTTACCCCCAACCCTGTGCTCTCTGAAACATGTGCTGTGTCCACTCAGGGTTAAATGGATTAAGGGCGGTGCAAGATGTGCTTTGTTGAACAGACGCTTGAAGGCAGCATGCTCGTTAAGAGTCATCACCACTCCCTAATCTCAAGTACCCAGGGACACAAACACTGCGGAAGGCCGTGGGGTCCTCTGCCTAGGAAAACCAGAGACCTTTGTTCACTTGTTTATCTGCTGACCTTCCCTCCACTATTGTCCTGTGACCCTGCCAAATCCCCCTCTGCGAGAAACACCCAAGAATGATCAATAAAAAAATAATTAAAAAAAAAAAAAAAAAAAGAATTGTCAAACCTGCCAGTGAGTCGAATAGAGAGCTAGGCATAGACCCATGAAAACATAATGAAGGTGGCATTACAAATTTTGTAGCAAAAAAAATAGATTATTGAAAACATTATATTAGAATAATCAATAATCTGTAATTGGGTGGATCATGAGGTCAGGAGATCAAGACCATCCTGGCTAACATGGTGAAACCCCGTCTCTACTAAAAATACAAAAAAATTAGCTGGGCGTAGTGGCAGGTGCCTGTAGTCCCAGCTACTCGGGAGGCTGAGGCAGAAGAATGGTGTGAATCCGGGAGGTGGAGCTTGCAGTAAGCCGAGATCGCGCCACTGCTCTCCAGACTGGACGACTGAGCGAGACTTGGTCTCAAAAAAAAAAAAAAATCCGTAATTGAAAAATTATAATAAATCCCTATTTTATATCATGTACAAAAAGAAAAACGTAGATAAAGATTTAAATATCAAAATCAAAATATTAACATTTTTAGAAGAGAATATTAGAGAATATTTTTATGATCTTGGGAACAAACCTTAAGGAAAGAGACCAAAAATTTTAACAGTGTCACAGATTTAAACTTCTGTAAAACAAGACACCATAAATAAGGTGCTAAACAAGCCACAGGCTAAGATAATATAATTGTAATAAATATAACTGACAAAGAATTAATATTTAAGATATAAAAAGAATCCATACAAATCAATAAGAAAATGAAAAGTAACTTAAGAGAAAAAACAGGCAAAAGAGATGAACAAGCAATTTGCAAAACAGAAAACTCAAATAGCCAATAAACACAAGAAAAGATGCTCTACCTCTCTACTAGTAAGAGAGATACAAATTAAAACAACAGTTAGGTTTCATTCGTATTCTTCAGATCAAAAATCATGTTTTTTTGTTTTTTTTTTGAGACAGAGTCTCGCTCTGTTGCCCAGGCTGGAGTGCAGTGGCGTGATCTCCACTCACTGCAACCTCCGCCTCCTGGGTTTAAGTGATTCTCTTGCCTCAGTCTCCTGAGTAGCTAGGATTACAGGTGTGCACCACCACACCCAGCTAATTTTTGTATTTTTAGTACAGGCAGGGTTTCACCATGTTGGCCAGGCTGGTGTCAAACTCCTGAGCTCAGGTGATCTGCCCACCTTGGCCTCCCAAAGTGCTGAGATTACAGGTTTGAGCCACCATGCCCGGCCTAAAAATCGTATTTTTGTTGTTGTTGTTGTTGTTGTTATTGTTAGGCACAAGGTCTCACTCTGTCACCAAGGCTGGAATGCTTGTGGCACAATCATAGCTCACTGCAGCCTCGAACCTATGGACTCAAGCAATCCTCCTGCCTCAACCTCCCCAGTAACTGGGACTTCACGTGCATGTCATCACACTTGGTTAATTTTTAAACTTGTTGTAGCAACTGGGTCTCACCATGTTGTCCAGGCTGGTCTTGAACTCCTGGCCCCAAGCAATCCTCCCACCTCAGCCTCCCAAAGTGCTGGAACTACAGGCGTGAGCCACTGTGCCTGGCCTGAAAATCAAGTTAAAGTCTTACAAAACTAAATATTGGTGAGCATATAAAGAATTGGAAACTTATACACTGCTAGTAGAAGGTAAACTGGTAAAACCACTTTGGGGAGTGATTTGGCAATAACTAATAAAGTTGAAGATGCATGTAACATATGACCAAAAATTCTACTCCTAAGTAGAAATATTCTGGAGAACTATTGCATGTATGTACAATAAGAAATGTACAAGAATATTCTTTGCAGCATTGTGGTAATAGAGAAAATTAGAAATAATCTAAACGTTCATCAGTAGATAACTAGATAACTAGATGAATATAAATTCAAGCACGTTCAATAAAAAAAGTCAATAGTTAAGATGAATATGCTAGAGTTACATATACCAATATGGATAAATATTAAAAAATAATCTTGAATAGAAAAAGCAATTTTCAGAATATTTATAATATGACACCATTTAAATAAACTTTAGAAACAGGCAGAACACAATCATATATTATAGCATATAACAAATGTATTAAACTATGCAAGAATATAATATATACTAAGATCACGCCTGTAATCCGAGCACTTTGAGAAGCCGAGGTGGGCGGATCACAACGTCAGGAGTTCAAGAAAATCCTGGCCAACATGGTGAAACTCCATCTCTACTAAAAATACAAAATTAGCCAGGTACGGTGGCAGACACCTGCAGTCCCAGCTACTCGGGAGGCTGAGGCAGGAGAATCGCTTGTACCTAGGAGGCGGAGGTTGCAGTGAGCCGAGATCATGCCACTGTACTCCAGCCTGTGTGATGGAGCAAGACTCTGTCTCAAAAAAAAAAAAAAAAAAAAAAAAAAAAGATAACGGACATGGTTACAGAGAAAGAAAAAGATTTTATCAGAAGGGTACAAAATGGATTCAACTATATATGTAAATGTTTAACTTCTTAAAAATAAACAAACAAAACATCTGAAGTAAATATGACCAAATGTTAAGATTTGATGAGCTAAGTGGTGGATACGTTGTTTTTAAATTAGTCACTGTAGTATTCTGTGGTGGATACATTGTTTTAAAAGTAGTCACTGTAGTTTTCTGTTTGCCTGAAACAGTTTATAATTGAAGTGTAAGAAAAGATGGAAGGGAGGCAGGAGAGAAATAAGGAAGGGAGAAAGTAAGGTAGGCAGGCAGGCGGGCAAGAAGGAGAGAAAGCAATTTCAATCTCTGTGGCCCATTTCCTATCCAATGCCATGATTTTGCAGCTGTTTCTTCTCTACAGTGGAGGCACATGGTAGAGTGGAAAAGAAAATGTCCTGTTTTCCAAAGATTTGAATTTTGATCCTAACTTGATCCTGTTTTAGTCATATGACCTTAATCAAGTCACACAATTTAAAAGGTATAGGCCAGGTATGGTGGCTCACATCTGTAATCCCAGCACTTTGGGAGGCTGAGGTGGGTGGATCACCTGAGGTCAGGAGTTCAAGACCAGCCTGGCCAACATGGTGAAACCTCGTCTCTACTAAAAGTACAAAAATTAGCCAGGCGTGGTGGCACACACCTGTAGTCCCAGCTACATGGGAGGCTGAGTCAGGAGAATCACTTGAACTCGGGAGGCGGAGGTTGCAGTGAGCTGAGATTGCGCCACTACACTCCAGCCCCGGCAACAGAGCAAGACTCCATCTCAAAAAAAAAAAAAAAAGAAATACATCATAATTGCTGACCTTTTTGCTTTTTCATCCCTCTATAATTGTTTCTGTATGGTACCAATCCTTCTTCTACCATTTGCTTTAGTTTCAGTGCTATATCATAAAAGAAGTCAAAAACAGTCTTGAGCACTCAGGACCCTTCTGCCCCATTGTTTAATGTCTGTTTTCTGCCACTGCTTCTTCTACCTCTTCTTCCTCAATATCTGGCACTGGTTCAGAAGCATGCCTCTCCATTAAGTCATCTTTTGTTAATTCCTATAATATGGTGTCAATTAGCTCTTGAATTTCTCTAAGATTCAAATCTCGAAACTCTTCACCCCTCCCCCGCTTTTTTTTTTTTTTTTTTTTTTTTTTTTTGCTATATCCACAATCTCTTCCTTTCATGATTTGCTTGGATGGCTCTGTCATAAATCCCGTGAAGTTATGCACAACATCCGGACAGTTTTCTGTAGCAGGAATTGATTGTTTCAGGCATGATGGCTTTCACAGCTTTTCCTATAACAACAATGGCATCTTCAGTGGTGTAATCCTTCCAGACTTGCACGATGTTCTCTCCATCAGGGTTTTCCTCCATAGCATTGGCAATCCTTTCCATAGAGAACTGTGTTAATGAGCCTTGAAGGTCCTTATGACCCCCCAGTCTAAAGGCTGAATCTTGTGCTTGGGAGTAGGTAGACCACTTTGATACCTTCGGTGTTGAATTCATGGGGTTCTGGGTGGCCAGGGGCGTTGTCTAATAACAAAATAAATTTAAAAGGCAGTTCCATACTGGTAAGGTAAGAAAGGGCCAAAGTATTGATGGAATCACTCCAGAAAAAGGATTCTCATTTTCCAGGCCTTATTGTTGTGCAACCAAAAGACTAACAGCTTGTGTTTATCTTTTCCCTTCAAGGCTCGAGGGTTAGGAGCTTTATAAATAAGGGCAGTTCTGATCATAAACCTGATTGCATTTGCACAAAACAGTAGTTAGACTATTCCTTCCTGTCTTAAATCCTGGTGTTCACTTCTCTTCCTTACTAATAAATGTCTTTCTTGGCAATTTTTTTTTTCCAGAATAGGACACATTTGTCTGCATTAAAAATCTGTTCCGGCAGATATCCTTTCCCCTTAATGATTTTCTCAGTAGCATCTGGGAACTCATCTGTGGCTTCTAGGTTGGCAGAAGCTGTTTCTCTTGTCATCTTGATATTTTTTAAGCCCAACCTCTTCCTAAAATTATCAACCCAAACACACAAACAAAATTATTAAACCATCCTTTGCTGGCATTAAATTCTCCAGCTTTAGATCCTTCACCTTCCTTTTGCTTTAAGTTGTCATGTAATGACTTCACTTTTTCTCAAATCATATTAGAGTCTATAGGAATACCTTTCTTACAGCAATTCTGTACCCACATAAAAGCTCCATCTTCGGCCGGGTGCAATGACTCATGCCTGTAATCCTGTAATCCCAGCACTTTGGGAGGCCTTGGCATGGGGATCAACAGATCAAGAGTTTGAGACCAGCCTGGCCAACATGGTGAAACCCCCTCTCTAATAAAAATACAAAAAAAAAAAAATAATAATAACCAGGCATTGTGGCACACACCTGTAGTACCAGCTATGTGGGAGGCCGAGGCAGGAGAATCATTTGAACCCAGGAAGTGGAGGTTGCAGTGAGCTGAGATCACGTCACTGCACTCCAACCTGGGTGACAGAGCAAGACTCTGTCTCAAAAAAAAAAAAAAAAAAAAAAAAAAAAGCTACATTTGCAATACCAGACAAAAAGGTATTTCACAAAGTGTGCACAGTTTTTGTATCTGCTGGCATAGCAAAGCCATGGCATTGTGAATTTTCTTTCCTTTTTTTTTTTTTTTTTTACAATGGTCCTTGTGCTGGATTCATTTATCTTGTAATGGCAGGCAACTGCAGCTGCAGCCCTCAATCTATGGTAAGCATCAAGCAATTCGGCTTTTCCTTGTGATGTCAGGACTTTTTCCTGCTTCTTGGAAGCACTTCTAGTCACTAGTGGCACTTGGTACGGGACACATGGTGTTATTCAAGGTTTATGGTGTTGCATTAAGCATGATGAAAAATATGCTAGAACTTCAAGAGATCATTTTTTATTGTGATGTACAATTTACTAGAGAGATGAACTGTTCATGCAGAGATGATTAGAGCCACGTGGTGGTTTAAACAGATACTAACCACACTTGACCTCACCACAACAGCAACAGGAGGTGGGTAAAACATGATTAGAACAGCACAGTATGTACAACAGTTAATTTATGCAGTTATGATTGAATAATGCATCTTTACCTCTGTTTACATTGCTCACAACTGTGAAAGTTACCATATTCAGCGTATAAATGTCAGTTTTGATAAATTTTAACTCTTTATAATAGATTTGTGTATATTTTATGATAGCAAATGATAAAACAGACTATCTATACATTGTATGCATTCATGACATATCTTTTTCTTAACTTTTTTCAATATTTCTTGACTACGTGGTTTTTCTAGGCTGTAAGTTTATTCAAATTGTCCCAAATCTCCAAAAACTTTTCCAATATATTTACTGAAAAAAAATCTATGTATAAGGGGACCCACGCGGTTCATACTTACGTCGTTCAAGGGCCAACTGTATCTCCTACTGGTTCTTTTTCTCTGCTAGCACCCTGATTAATGCAGTGATATTAACTACAGTTGTTGGTAAGGCTTCTTAATTAATATAATATTAGAAAGAGATGTAGAAGAGAGATTGATTTTGGACACTATAAAACCTCTAAATTAATAAAGAATGAGAAAGTATAAGAAAGTTATAAAATAAGCCAAAATAAACAAAATTGCTTACCTTATGATGGCCAAAGTTACTTTTTATCAGGCAGCTATAAGTAGGCAAATATACACTTAAGGATGTTTGTGAACTTAAAATATTCACCAGCAGAATAAAAATAGGGTGATTGAGGTAGCCAGCCTTCAAGATAGCTCCCAATGATTCCTACCACCTGGCATTGACATCCTTGCGTCATCTCTTCCCATATTGTACTGGGGTTGTTCTCTATGACTGACAGAATACAGCAAAAGTGACAGTACATCATTTGGGAAACTGGGTTATTAAAGATATTGTGGCTTCTATCTTGTTCTCTCTCCCTCCCTCTTGGATCATTCGCCCTTGGGTAAGCCACCTGCCATGCCATAGCTGTCCTGTGGAGAGGCCTGTGTGGTAAGGAATGAGACCTCCGGACAACAGACGCCAAGGTCCTTTGACAACAGCCGTGTAAGTGAGCTTGGAAGCATATTTTCCAGCTCCCGTCCAATCTTCAGAAGACTAAAGCAACAGGCAACATCTTGATTGCAACCTCAGGAAAGACATTATGCCAGAACCACCCAGTTAAACCACTTCTGGATTCCTGACTTTCAGAAATCGGGTGAGATAATAAATGTTTGTGGTTCATGCTACTGTTTCCCTTCCAAACTGATTTAAAAAATAACAGAAACAAAGTAAAACTCATAGGAAAGGCAGAACTGAAGAAATAATAATGAGAAAGCATAAAATAGAAACTAAGATAAACCAAATGTAACAATTAAAATTATTCTAAATAGTCTAAATCCTGCTACTAAGAGGCAAAGGGACTTTTTTTTTTTTTTTTTTTTTTTTTAAGATAGAGTCTCGCCTTGTTTCCCAGGCTAAAGTGCAGTGACTTGATCTTAGCTCACTGCAGCCTCGACTTCCCAGGCCCAGATGATTCTCCCATCTCAGCCTCCCAAGTAGCTGGGACTGCAGGCACACAGCACCACACTTGGCTAATTTTTGTATTTTTTGTAGAGACAGGGTTTTACCATGTCGCCCAGGCTGGTCTCCAACTCCTGGGCTCAAGCTATTCTCCCGCCTCTGCCTTTCAAAGGGCTGGGATTACAGGCATGAGCTACCGCTCCTGGCTGGAGTATAAATTATTTAAAAATCAGGCTGGTCATGGTGACTCACACCTGTAATCCCAGCACTTTGGGAGGCCAAGGCGGGTGGATCACTTGAAGTCAGGAGTTTGAGATGAGCCTGGCCAACACAGTGAAACCCCATCTCTACAAAAAATATAAGAAAAAAAAAAATTTGCCAGGTGTTGTGGCGGGTGCCTGTAATCCCAGCTACTCGGGAAGCTGAGGCCTGAGAATCGCTTGAACCTGGGAGGTGGAGGTTGCAGTGAGCCAAGATCACACCACTGCACTCCAGCCTGGGCGACACAGCAAGACTCCATCTCAAAAAAAAAAAAAAAAAGTCAATTAATTAGGCCAGGCATGGTGGCTCATGCCTGTAATCCCAGCACGTTGGGAGACCAAGGCAGGCAGATCACTTGAGGTCAGGAGTTCAAGAACTGCCTGGCCAATATGGTGAAACCCTGTCTCTACTAAAAATACAAAAAATTAGCCAGGCATGGTGGCACACACCTGTAGTCCCAACTACTTGAGAGGCTGAGGTAGGAGAATCGCTTGAACCCAGGAGGTGGAGGTTGCAGTGAGCTGAGATCATGCCACTGCACTCCAGCCTGGGTGACAGAGCAAGATTCTGCCTCAAAAAAAAAAAAAAAAAAAAAGAATTAAATAATATGCTACTAATATATAGCTACTTAAAAGCCAAATGGTTTAGAAAGGCTAAACATAAGAGAATGAGAAGATAAACTATCATTATATAAAAGAAAAGCAGGATTAGCAATATTAGTGTGAGATAAACTAGAACTTCAGGCAAAAAAGCACTAAAGGCCAGGCACGGTAGCTCACATCTGTAATCCCCACGCTTCGGGAGGCTGAGACAGGAGGATCACTTGAAGCCAGGAGTTTGAGACCAGCTTAGGTAACATAGCAAGGCCCTGTCCCTATAAAACATTTAAAAATTAGCCAAATGTGGTAACCTGTGCCAGTAGTCCCAGTCACTCAGCAGACTGAGGTGGGAGGATCGCTTGAGCCCAGGAGTTTGAGGCTGCAATGAGCTATGATGGTACTAGCACATTCCAGCCTGGACAACAGAGTCCAGGCTGAATGGACTCTTTTGCTGAAAAAGAAAAAAAAAAAAGCACTAAAGCAGGTGGAGTTCTTGCATATGATAAAGGATAGTAAGAGATGAAAATACAATAATAAGGAATTGATATGAACTAACATAGCAGCTAAATATATAATGTAGACTGGTAGGCTTATAATGAGAAAATGATATAAAATACAATTATAGTAGGAAATTTTAATTATCTAATATCCATGACAGACTAAGCAGACAATATGTATAAAGGCATGAAGGACTGAAACAGTATAATTCATAGCATAGAACATTATTTCAGATTTTATATTCTACAAATAATGGCTATATACATTCATGTATAGAAATTGAGCATATCCGGGCCAGGCGCAGTGGCTCACGCATGTAATCCCACCACTTTGGGAGGCTGAGGCGGGAGGATCACGAGGTCAGGAGATTGAGACCATCCTGGCTAACATGGTGAAACCCCGTCTCTACTAAAAATACAAAAAATTAGCCGGGTGTGGTGGCGGGTGCCTGTTGTCCCAGTTACTCGGGAGGCTGAGGCTTGCAGTGAGCTGAGATTGTGCCACTGCACTCCAGCCTGGGCGACAGAGCGAGACTCTGTCTCAAACAAAAAAAAAAAAAAAAAAAAAGAAATTAAACATATCTGGTTATAGAGAAAAATCTCATTAAAGACAATAAAGGAAAACATTTTTGGGACTATATTTTCCATCCACAATTAAATATTAGGCCAGGTGCAGTGGTTCATGCCTATAATCCTAGCACTTTGGGAGGCCGAGGCAGGAGGATTGCTTAAAGCCAGGAGTTTGAGACAAGCCTGGGCAGCAAAGCAAGACACCTTCTCTATTTTAAACAAAAAAGACACTAAAAAAATGGACAAACACAATTAAACATTAATGGCATAAATGTTTTCTTAGGAATAGTCGTCAATAACCTGTAAAATAAACAAGTACCCCACAGATGAGAACTTGGACAAAAAAGAAGACAGAAAAGGAAAGTACAAAAAAAGAGTGCTTGGTAGGCTATATAAAAGTGTATGACAAATGTTAGGAAGTATTATTAGTTAGCCATTTAAAAATAATAATGAAAATACCAACCTATCTAAATCTTTGTGATGAAGTCAAAGCAGTATTTGAAAGAAAATACACAGTTTTAAATGTTATATTACTTTTTGAGTAAGAAAAATTATTATATAAAAAGCAATGACAGGCCGGGCGTGGTGATGCATACCTGTAATGCCAGCACTTTGGGAGGCCGAGGCGGGTGGATCATCTGAAGTCGGGAGTTTGAGACCAGCCAGACCAACATGGTGACACCCTGTTTCTACTAAAAATACAAAAATTAACTGGGCATGGTGGCAGGCACCTATAATCCCAGCTACTTGGGAGGCTGAGGCAGGAGAATTGCTTGAACCCCGCAGGTGGAGGTTGCAGTGAGCAGAGATCACGCCACTGCACTCCAGCCTGGGGGATAGGGTGAGACTCTGTCTCCAAAAAAAGAAATATACGAGCCTCCAGAAAATCTAATTAAGAACAGAGAAGAGATACACAAAATATTAGAAACATTAACACACAAATAATACACAAACATGCTAAAAATGTTCCCATCCCAAAGAAAAAAAACTTGTTTTTTCTTACTATAGGTCTTACTCTTTTCTCCTGAAAGACCACTTCTAAACCAGACAATTTTTTGGAAATATTATGTTTTCTGATTATAAAAGTACTACAAAAATATTTCTGTTTAGTATAGTAGACTAGATACTACAGGACTGAACCACCTGGTAAAATCAACTAAAATTACTGGATTTTAAAAAGTCTTAAATGCATTCAAAAGCTGACAAGAAAGTAAAGATTACAGCTGGACGTGGTGGCTCATGCCTGTAATCCCAGCAATTTGGGAGGCCGAGGCAGGCGGATCACAAGGTCAGGAAATCAAGACCATCCTGGCTAACACGGTGAAATGCCATCTCTACTAAGAATACAAAAAATTAGCCAGGCGTGGTGGTGGGCTCCTGTGGTCCCAGCCACTCGGGAGGCTGAGGCAGGAGAATGGCGTGAAGCCGGGAGGCGGAGCTTGCAGTGAGCCGAGATGGCGTCACTGCACTCCAGCCTGGGCAACAGAGCAAGACTCTGTCTCAAAAAAAAAAAAGGAAAAAAAAAAGAAAGTAAAGATGACTTAATGTATTATACATCTAAGGCATCGTTGGTTGAAAGATATGCCATTACTTTACTACTAAGAAAGAAAACAAATGTAATCAAACTATGACATAATGCTTTCTTATAACTTTTTTCTTGTAACTTATTTTACACTTATGGAAGATCTTGTAGGCTAATCATCTATTTTTTCCTTCATTTTTATTTATTTACTTATTTAAAGATAAGATCTTCCTATGTTACCCAAGACTTCTGAAGTCCTCAAGCAATCCTCCTGCCTCTGCCTCCTGAGTAGCTGAGACTGTAGACAAATGCTACTGCACCCAGCTTATTTTTGTAATTTTATTTTTTTGTGACAGGGTCTCACTCTGTTGCCCAGGCTGGAGTGCAGTGGTGTGATCATGGCTCACTGCAGGCTGGACCTCCTGGGCTCAAGCAGTCCTCCAGCCTCAGCCTCCTGAGTAGCTGGGATTACAGGCATACGCCACCACATTCGGCTAATTTTGTATTTTTAGAAGAGACGGGGTTTCTCCATGTTGGTCAGACTGGTCTCAAACTCCTGACCTCAGGTGATTGGCCTGCCTCGGCCTCCCAAGGTGCTGGGATTACAGGCGTGAGCCACCGTGCCTGGCCAATTTTTTTACTTTAGTAGTGACAGGGTCTTGCTATGTTGCCCAAGCTGGTCTTGAACTCCTGGGCTCAAGAGATCCTCCTGCCTCAACCTCCCAAAGTGCTGAGATTACAGGCATGAGCCACCACATCAGGCTGATCCAGCTTATTTTTAATCATATATTACTTTTGAGCATATATTAAAAGGTAAGTGAAAAAATTGCTTAAGGTGTGCTTAAAACTACCTCACATTTAATCTGACTCTTCCACACAATTGTCTGTGCCATCAAGAACATTACAAATGTATTATTTCAAAAAACAATCCTTAACATAATGAAAAAAAATTAATGCTGGGCTCTTAAGCCTGACTTTGCTATTATGTAGCACTAACCTACTTCTGACTCATATTTTAGGAGTGTTGCTGAAATGTCTGACTCACTGTGCTATCCCCTCTCCACTAACATTCGATGCCTCGGGGTTAAAAGAATGCTCCACTATTAGTCTCAAGATTTTCTTCCAAGCCACTGACATTCCTTCTGCAATTTTTGATGCTGCAATTTTGATATTCATACATGCATAAACAATGACATTTATGTAATGGCTGACTGGCTGACAGTGATTATAGACAATTTAAGATACACACTGATTTCAAAGATGTTAAAATGTGAAAAAAATATTTCAAACAATGAAATATAATACATTAAAGTAAGAATGAAGTGAAATCTAGAGGATACCTACCAAAACTGGAAGAACTCAGGTTCAAGTTTAATAGTACTGTGCAGCAGGTGGGTTGGAAATCAAAGCCCAAACCCATCTAAAATAGGGAATCTAAAAGGAGATTCCCTCTTCCCCCTATAAAACTGGGTCCCAAAGAGTTACTCTCTCAGTGTAAGGCACATTAGAAATCATCCATTTCTCCACCACAATTATCACCACCAGATGACTACAGCAATAATTGCTCATCTCAAAATTCGGTGCTAAGTCAGGAAAGGGAGATTATCTCCTCCAAGAACCTGTAACCACAAGCAAGCCCTAATGCAGGTTTGCAGCAGAAACACGTATAACCTAACGCATATTAGAAAAAAAAAATCATAAACCAAGAATTAGGATTAAAATAGTCCTAGTACAATGATGCCCTCAGATGCTCAAAAGAAGCATATCCCTTTGGAGGAACTCATCTATCCCACGCCTCAAGGAATTTCTAAAGAAAATGTTTTTTAAAAAGTCAGTACAGCAACAAAGCAAAACAAAAAAAAAATCACAAAACCACCAGGAAACAAAGCACCATGACCAGGAACCAGCAGGAGGCCAGGCGTGGTGGCTCACACCAGTAATCCCAGCACTTTGGGAGGCTGAGGCAGGAGGATGGGCCAGGCACCAACAGTCTTTTATAGGAACAGAACCGTGATTTTGTTTAGTGAGTAATATGCTAAGCTTAAAATGCTTACTGTTATGGACTGAATTGTGTTTCCCAGCACACCACCTCTCCCTACTCCCCTCCCCAGCCACCACTGAAATTTATATATTGAAGCCCTAACCAATGTGACTATATTTGGAGATAGGGCTTTTAAGGTTAAATGAGATCATAAGAGTGGGGCCCAAATCCAACAGGACTGGTGTCCCTATAAGAGGAAAAGACGCCGGGTGTGGTTTGCTCAGCCGGGCACAGTGGCTCACGCCTGTAATCCCAGCACTTTGGGAGGCCGAGGCGGGTGGATCACCTGAGGTCAGGAGTTCAAGGCCAGCCTGGCCAATGTGGTGAAACCCCATTTCTACTAAAAATACAAAAATTAGCCAGGCATGGTGGCAGGCACCTGTAATCGCAGCTACCCAGGAGGCTGAGGCAGGAGAATCGCTTGAACCTGGGAGACGGAGGTTGCAGTGAGCCGAGATCGCGCCATTGCACTCCAGCCTGGAGGACAAGAGCGAGACTTTGTCTCAAAAAATAATAATAATAAATAAGAGGAAAAGAAACTAGACATCTCTTTCTCTTCATGAACACAGAAGAGAAGCCATGTGAGTACACAGGGGCAACAGCTATCTGCAAGCTAGGAAGAGCGCCTCACCAGAAACTGAATCTGCCAGAACCTTTATCTGGGAGGTGGAGGCTGTGGTGAGCCACAGTACTGCACTCCAGCCGGGGCAACACAGTGAGACTCTCTCTTAAAAAAAAAAATCCAATAAATGAAGATAAATGAATCATATAAACATATTGGAAATAGATTTAAGTCTCTCGCTTAGTTAACTATAACAACATAGTACTCACTAAAATAAGACATCTATGACAAATTAGTGAGTTATTAATGCAAAGTATATTTGAGATTAGTCATTGCACAAGAAAATTTGAACACCCTGAAATCTTTTTTTATTTTTATTTTTCTGAGACAGAGTCTCACTCTGTCACCCAGGCTAGAGTGTAGTGGCGCGATCTCGGCTCACTGCAACCTCTGCCGCCCAGGTTCAAGTGATTCTTCTGCCTCAGCCTCCCGGTAGCTGGGATTACAGGCACCTGACACTGTGCCTGGCTAATTTTTGTAGTTTTAGTAGTGATGGGGTTTCACCATCTTGGCCAGGCTGGTCTTGAACTCCTGACCTCGTGATCCACCCGCCTCAGCCTCCCGAAGTCCTGGGATTACAGGCATGAGCCACCGTGCCCAGCCGAACACTTTGAAATCTTAAAGTTTATATATGAAAGAAACTTGGTAGACGTTTTACCAAATTTGACAACAATCTTAAGAAATTACATGGTGTTACCAAAAGGAAGTTGTAAAGATGAAAGAAACTTTTCTAAACAATCAGTAATGAAAATAAATTTCAAAGAAGAAGAGAGAAAAGATTGATTTATCTTTCTATTCGTGTAAGAGAAAATACTACAAAATCTTGACCAGGCACGGTGACTCACATCTGTAATCCCAGCACTTTGGGAGGCCAGCGTAGGTGGATTGCTTGAGCTCAGTAGTTCAAGACCAGTCTGGGCAACATGGCATGATCCCACCTCTACAAAAAATACAAAAATCAGCTGGGCTTGGTGGTGTGCATCTGCAGTCCCAGCTACTTGGGAGGCTGAGGCGGGAGAATCACTTGAGCCCGGGAGGTCAAGGCTGCAATGAGCTGTGATGGTGCCATTGCACTCTAGCCCGGGAGACAGAGTGAAACCTTGTCTCAAAAAAAAAAAAAAAAAGAAAGAAAGGAAAAAATACTACAAAATATTGTCATATGATGAAGCAATCAGAGTTGCAGGAAGAAAAGTATCACAGAGGTGAGTCAGGTAATCAATAAAAATATTATGTTGTTTTTCTGGATTTTATAATTTGTGTTCTTGATTTAAAATTTTTTTAATTTGTTATGATTTCTTTTTTCACTCTAAATGAAAAGTTACTTCTGTGCATAATTTTGTACTTATGATTTTATAAATTTATATTTTCACTTTTTTCTTTCTTTTTTTTTTTTTTTAACAAAAAGAGTCCCCAAATTACATGAGCTTCAGGTCCTACAAAGCCTGGCTCCACTCCTGATGACAGATGACTATAAAAACAAGAGAGCGGAGTATGAGTCTGAGGCGGAGGGAGTCATGGCAGGAAGGACAAGCGTTTAGAAAGTTTCTTCCACTCTTTGACCAAGTATTGGTTGAAAGGAGTACTGCTGAAACTGTAACCAAAGGAGGCATTATGCTTCAAGGAAAAGTATTGCAAGCAACAGTAGTCGCTGTTGGATCGTGTTCTAAAGGAAAGGGTGGAGAGATTCAACCAGTTAGAGTGAAAGTTGAAGATAAAGTTCTTCTCCCAGAATATGGAGGCACCAAAGTAGTTCTAGATGACAAGGATTATTTCCTGTTTAGAGATGGTGACATTCTTGGAAAGTACGTAGGCTGAAATAAGTCACTATTGAAATGGCATCAACGTGAAACTGCCCATTCCACTGAAGTTCTGAAATCTTTCATCATGTAAATAATTTCCATATTTCTCTTTTATAATAAACTAATGATAACTAATGAAAAAAAAAACACAACATCAGTTGAGGTAAACTTATTAATCATTTCAATAGAAGTTTGAAAATGCACGATAATAAAATTCAACAACCTTCACATTAAAACTAGATATATTTACTATATCTAGTAGTATGCTATAGTAGATATATTTTTGCACATCATGTTGGGGTGGAAAAATAAAAATACAAAGTACAGATATATTCTACCTAGAGTTAACCAAACTACAAAGTTTGAGGGAACAGTTCCCACAAGACTATCCTCACTTCTGATACAAACTACAAATTTGGAGGGGTCCAAAAACTACCTTCTTTGATAATTCACAAGACTCACAGAGCTCACTGAAAGGTATTATGTTCATGGTTACGGTTTCTTACAGAGAAAAGATACAAATAAAAATCAGCCAAGGTGGCTGTGTAAAATGGTGCAGCCACTACAAAAAAAATTGTGGTGGTTTCTCAAAAAAAAAAAAAAAATTACCATAGCAATTCTACTTGGGGTGTATTCAAAATAATTGAAAGCAGGTCTCAAAGAGACATCTGCACACCCATGTTCATAGCAGCATTATTCATACTATCTAAAACACAGAAGCAACCCCAAATGTCTACTGACAGAGGAATGGATAAACACAATGTGGTATATACATACAGTGAAATATTACACAGCCTTAAAAAGAAAGGAAATTCTGACATGCTACAAAATGAATGAACCTGAGAACATTATCCTAAGTGAAATGTCAGTCACATAAAGACAAATGCTGTATGATTCTACTTATTTGAGGCAGAGTAGTCAAAATCACACAGACAGAAAGTAGAATGGTGTTTGCCAAAGGGTGAAGGGGAGAGAAGAATGGGAAGTTGTTTAAAGGGTACAGAGTTTCAATTTTACAAGATGAAAAGAATTATGAAGATGCACAACATTATAAATGCATTTAACACTGCTGAACTGTATACATAAAAATGGTTAAGACAGTACATTTTACGTTACGTATACCTTATTACAATTAAAGAATTTGGCCAGGCGCGGTGGCTCACACCTGTAATCCCAGCACTTTGAGAGGCTGAGGCAGCCGGATCACCTGAAGTTGGGAGTTCGAAACCAGCCTGACCAACATGGAGAAACCCTATCTCTACTAAAAGTACAAAATTAGCCGGGCATGGTGGCAGGTGCCTATAATCCCAGTTACTCGGGAGGCTGAGGCAGGAGAATCGCTTGAATCCAGGAGGCAGAGGTTGCAGTGAGCCAAGATCGCACCACTGCAGTCCAGCCTGGGCAACAAGAGTGAAACTCCGTCTCAAAAAAAAAAAAAAATTTTGAAAAAATACAGGACCCCCATATAAATTTGAATTTCAGACATACTTATGTTAAAAAATAATTGTTTACTGAAATCCAGATTTAATTGGTGTCCTGTATTTACCTGGCAATCGTAACCCCTCCCACTGAAAATAGTAGCTATACACCAAACACAAACATACACATACATAGCCACATACATACCCACACACATAATAACCTTAAAGGCATCAGAAGTGACAAAAAGGAATTATCAAGTGTGATAACTTTGTACTGTGTCAATGAAGAGTGTAATTAACATACTCAGAGATAGGAAAAGATGACAAATTCCTACAATGAGAGATGAAGAATTTTTTCATACACACAGACTCCGAGTTTGCAGCTTCAGTTCTACAACTTCAGTCATGGATCAAAGTAAACACAGAATATAAAATCTCACTAGTTCTGATCTCAAATAGATTTTCCTGTCCAGTGTGCACAATTTTTTTTTCTTTTTTGTTGACAGTCTCGCACTGTTGCCCAGGCTGGAATGCAGTGGCGCAATCTTCGCTCACCGCAACCTCCACCTCCCGGGTTCAAGTGATTCTCCTGCCTCACCATCCCGAGTAGCTAGGACTACAGGTGTGCGCCACCACAGCCGGCTAATTTTTGTACTTTTAGTAGAGACGGGGTTTCACAATGTTGCCCAGGATGGTCTCAATCTCTTGAACTTGTGATCCGCCTGCCTCGTCTTCCCAAAGTGCTGGGATTATAGGCGTGACCCACCGGCGTCCGGCCACAAAACATTTTCTTATTTGACTTGAACTAACAAATAGGCGAAGTTTCACAAAAAGAAAAAGAGTCACAAAACATATTCTATCATCTTTTAGCTAACAGAGTATTTAAACTCCCATCACGTTGACATCTGTAACCAAATGGGCAGACCATAATATCAGACCCCCAATTGTTGCTATTGTGTCCCGAATTGGTGGGTTCTTCGTCTCAGTGACCTCAAGAATGAGGCCACGGACCCTCGCAGTAAGTGTTACAGTTCTTAAAGGCTACGTGTCCAGAGTTTGTTCCTTCTGGTGTTCCAATGTGTTCAGAATTTTTTCCTTCTAGTCGATTCGTGGTCTCGCTGGCTCAGGAGTGAAGCCGCAGACCTTTGCGGTGAGCGTTATAGCTCATAAAGGGAGCATGTACCCAAACAGTGAGCAGCAACAAGATTTATTGCAAAGAGCAAAAGAACAAAAGCACCACAACGTGAAGGAGGACCCCAATGGGTTGCCACGCTAGCTAGGCAGCCTGCCTTTATTCTTATCTGGCCCCACCCACGTCCTGCTGATTGGTCCATTTTACAGAGAGCCAATTGGTCTGTTTTACAGAGAGCTGATTGGTCCGTTTTGACAGGGTGCTGATTGGTGTGTTTACAATCCCTGAGCTAGACATAAAGATTCTCCAAGTCCCCACCAGATTAGCTAGATACAGAGTGCCAATTGGTGCATCCCCAAACTGTGAGCCAGACACAGGGTGCTGATTGGTGTGTTTACAAACCTTGAGCTAGAGAGAGTGCTGATTGGTGTATTTACAATCCCTTAGGTAGACATAAATGTTCTCCAAGTCCCCACCAGACTCAGGAGCCCAGCTGGCTTCACCAAGTGGTTACCCCACTGGGGCCACAGGTGGAGCTGCCTGCCCTTCTCGTCCCGTGCGCCCGCACTCCTCAGCCCTTGGGTGGTCGATGGGATCAGGCGCCGTGGAGCAGGGGGCGGCACTCCTCGGGGAGGCTCAGGCCGTGCAGGAGCCCACGGCGGGTGGAGGGGGATGGGGAAGTTCAGGCATGGCGGGCTGCAGGTCCGAGCCCTGCTGGGGAGGCAGCTAAGGCCCGGCGAGAAATCGAGCACAGCGCCGGTGGCCAGCACTGCTGGGGGACCCAGCTCACCCTTCGCAGCTGCTGGCCCGGGTGCTAAGCTCCTCAGTGCTCAGGGCCGGCGGGGCGGCCGGCCGCTCCGAGTGCAGGGCCCGCCAAGCCCACGCCCACCCGGAACTCTAGCTGGCCTGCAAGCGCTGCACGCAGCCCCAGTTCCCACCCGTGCCTCACCCTCCACACCTCCCCACAAGCCGAGGGAACCGGCTCCGGCCTCGGCCAGCCCAGAGAAGGGCTCCCACGGTGCAGCGGCGGGCTGAAGGGCTCCTCAAGCACGGCCAGAATGGGCGCTGAGGCCTAGAAGGCACCGAGAGCGAGCGAGGGCTGCGAGGGCTTGCCAGCACGCTGTCACCTCTCACTATGATCAATTGAGAACAGCTTGTAAACTGTCTGCAAATCAGAAATAGAACCAAGTTTAGCCAAGAACCAAAAACAAAAATAACAACACAGGGTAGGAATAAAGAAAGAGATGGAGACTAAAGTTATATTTCTACCTGGGATTCATTCCAGGGACCAATAAAATGGTATGCCTGTGCTTAAATATTCTATAAGGCGCACTTCAAGGGCAAAACTCCTTAATTGTTTCAGGTAAGTGTCCATTTGGAACTTCCATAACAAAGTATAATATTTAAAAGGTTTAAAATATGTCTTTTACAGAAATAATAGAATGAACCCATGTCAAAAATACATTAACTTATTAATGATAGGACCACAAAACTAATGAAAGTAGTTCCAAGAGTATTGGAGGAAGTTTATATTTATAGACATGTTATTTTTAAAAAGAATGCTGGATTAAGATTGCTAGGTTAGATACAAAACTGGTAAATGAGTTCCAGGGCAATAAAACTATAACCTTTGGGGTTATCTTTTCCACTGGACAGAAATCTAAAAGTTAACATTTAACTTCACAGATTTGGGCTTTAACAGATGGTAAATAGTAAAGTCAAACACACATTCTAAAGAAGTCAACAATCTTCGGATGGGCCTGTTAAACAGTGCTCTAGTAAGACATTGAAAAGACAGGCTATACTTTCTTTTGCTTATTTCTAAATTTAAAATTTTTTTTCTTTCTTTTTTTTTTTTTTTTTGAGATAGAATCTCACTCTATCACCCAGGCTGAAGTGCAATGGAGCAATCTCGGCTTACTGCAAACTCCGCCTCCTGGGTTCAAGCAATTCTTCTGCCTCAGCCTCGCAAGTAGCTGGGACTACTGGCGCGTGCCACCACGCCCGGGTAATTTTTGTATTAGTAGAGATGTTTCACCATGTTGGCCAGGCTGGTCTTTAACTCCTGAGCTCAGGTGATCCACCCACATCGGCCTCCCAAAGTGCTGGGATTACAGGCGTAAGCCACTGCACCTAGCCTTAATTTTTTTTTCTTTAGAAGAATGTGCTCAACTGGTCTTGAGTCCTGCCTTTGTATGCATCTCTCCTATTTGACACGCTACCCTGAGAACTCTAGTTGCCATGGCCTCCCAGTAATCCAGTTCCATCCCTTCAATGCAGGGAGATGTTTAGGTTACACCTAGGTTCCCACTCCCTTCATTCTAGCAAGTATTTTCAGGCAGTAAGCTGGGCCAATTGTAGAGCTCTGTTTCTTTCCCATTCATCAGGGTTCACTGTACTCAGTAGCCTAATGTCCAATATCTTAAAAACCATTGTTTCATGTACTTAGTCTAGTTTTCCAGTTGTTTCAGTCAAAAGGGTAAATCCATTTCCTATTACTTACTTTATCTTGGCTTCTTTTTCTTGTTTCATCATTGCAGCAGTTAAATCACTCAGTATAACACTGAATAGGTGAGAGCAGACATCATTGCCTTCTTCCTGATTGTACAGGGAAAGCATTAAATCTTTCAACATTTAACACGATATCGATGTAGGTTTTTCATAAATAACTAACCTTAATTTGCTGAGAGTTTACTTATGTTTTCTAAGTGTTGAGATCATAGTTGTTGTTTTTTTCTTTTATATGCTGTTAATGTGGAAAATTGCATTGATTGGCCTAGAGTGAGTTGGGGAATGTTCTGTTCTCTTTAACTGTCAGCAAGACTTTGTGGGGAATTTGTATTTGCTTTTCTTCCTTAAATGTATGGTAGAATATAATAATAAAGCTATCTGGGCCTGGTGTTGTCTTTGTGGGGTTTCTAGCTACAAATCCAAATTATTTATAAGTTATATAGCTATTGAAGTTAACTATTTCCTCTTGAGTAAATTTTGGTAAGTTTGTCTTTCAAGGTATTTCTTCTAAATTGTCTGATTTATTGGCATAAAATTGTTCATAATATTGCCTTATTGCCTCTTAATATACGTAATATCTGTAGTTATGTCACTTCTCTCATGTAATTTGTGTCACCTCTATTTTTTCCTGATCAATCCTGCCAGAGGTTTATCAATGTCATTGATCTTCTAATTTAAAAAAGCCCTTTCGTTTCTACTGAGTTTCTTTATTACTTTTGTTTTATACCTCATTGATTTCCACCCTCATCTTTTATTATTTCCTTTTTTCTGCTTACTTTATTTGCTTTTTTTTTTTTTTTTTTGAGACGGAGTCGCGCTGTTGCCCAGGCTGGAGTGCAGAGGCACAATCTCGGCTCACTGCAAGCTCCGCCTCCCGGGTTCACGCCATTCTCCTGCCTCAGCCTCCCTAGTAGCTGGGACTACAGGCACCTGCCACCACGCCCAGCTGATTTTTTGTATTTTTAGTAGAGATGGGGTTTCACCGTGGTCTCGATCTTCTGACCTCGTGATCCGCCCTCCTCTGCCTCCCAAAGTGCTGGGATTACAGGCGTGATTTATTTGCTCTTTATTTTCTAGTTTCTTAAGGTAGAAGCTGAGGTCATTGATTTAAGATCTTCCTTCTTTTCAAATGTATGTATTTATGCTACAAATTTCGCTCTGAATCATGCTTTAACTATATCCTACAAATTTTGATATGTGTGCTTTCATTTTTCATTCAGTTCAAAATGAGTCCCAACTTCCCTTTTGGTTTCTTTGTTGGTACATGGACTGCATAGAAGGATATTATTTAGTTTCTAAATATTTGTTAATTTCCCAGAGATTGGTTATTTCTAACTTTATTGAGGTCACACGTTGAATGATTTTTTTTTTTTTTTTTTTTTTTTTTGAGATGGAGTTTCGTTCTTGTTGCCCAGGCTGGAGTGCAATGGCGCAATCTTGGCTCATCGCAACCTCCACCTCCCGGGTTCGAGTGATTCTTCCTGTCTCAGCCTCCCAAGTAGCTCGGATTACAGGCATGTGCCACCACGCCCCGCTAATTTTTTTGTATTTAGTTTCACCATGTTAGTCAGGCTGGTCGTGAACTCCTGACCTCAGGTGATCCACCCGCCTTGACCTCCCAAAGTGCTGGGATTACAGGTGTACGCCACTGCGCCTGGCTATGAGGTCACACTTTGAATGATTTTAATCCTTTTAAATGCATTGATACTTGCTGCCCAGAACTTAGCCTATCTTGATAAAGTCCCTTGTGCACTTGAAAAAAAGTTTTCTGTTGATGCTGAGTGCTGTATAGTTTTTATTTTTAAAAATGTTTATCAAATCCCCTATTTTAAGAAGCATTTTTAATATAATTTTTTTTATTATTATTATACTTTAAGTTTTAGGGTACATGTGCACAATGTGCCGGTTAGTTACATATGTATACATGTGCCATGCTGGTGTGCTGCACCCGCATTTTTAATATAATTTATTTTTGCTGCTAGGTACTCTGTAAATATCTGTTACATCAAGTTGGTTGATAATGTGGTTCAAGTCTTTTACATTCTTATTAATTTTCTACTTAGCAATTATTGAGAGGTGCTAAAATCTGACTGTAATTGTGAAAACTGTTTTTCCTCACAGTTCCATCAGGTTTTTCTTTATGTATTTTGAAGCTGTCATTTAGGCAAATGAACATGTAGAATTGTTATGACTTCTTATTGAATTGACCCTATGATCTCATAAAATATCCCCTTTTCCCTGGCAATATGCTATGTTCTGAGATCTACTTTGTCTGATACTAATATAGTTTCATCAGATTTCTTTTTATTACAGGCATATCATTTAATATCCATTTGCATTTAACCGATTGTCTTTATATTTAGAGTGGTTGTCTTGCAAGCAGCATGCGGTAGGGTCTGTGATGCTAATTGGGGTGTTGGGACAATTCTGAGTATAACTATTGAAAAGGTCGGTTTTAAATGTACCACCTTGCTGTTTGTCTTGTTTGTCCCAGCTTTTTTTCCTTTTTCCTTGCCTTCTTTTCAGTCTTTTAGATTGAAGAGACTGTGTGTGTGTGTGTGTGTGTGTGTGTGTGTGTTTTGGAGAGTCTCACTCTGTCACCCAGGCTGGAGTGCAGTGGCACAATCTTGGCTCACTGCAACCTCTGTCTCCTGGGTTCAAGCAATTCTCCTGCCTCAGCCTCCCGAGTAGCTGGGATTACAGGCGTGTGCCACCATACCCAGCTATTTTTTGTATTTTTAGTAGAGATGGGGTTTCATCATGTTGGCCAGGCTGGTCTCAAACTCCTGACCTCAGATGATCCACCCACCTCGGCTTCCAAAAGTGCTGGAATTATAGGCATGAGCCACCGCACCTGGCTTAGACTAAGAATTTTTAATGACTCCATTAAATCTCCTTGGTTGACTTATTAGCTTTTCTATTTTTCTTGTGATTACTTCAGGATTTATCATGTACAAGGTGAAAATCTTACAGCATGCCAGGTGCAGTAACTCATGTCTGAAATTCCAGCACTTTGAGAGGCTGATGTGGGAGGCTTTCTTGAGGCCAGGAGCTTGAGAGTAGCCTGGGCAACATGGTAAGACCCCATCTCTCCAAAAAAAAAAAAAAAAATCTTACAGCAGTATGATTTCACTTCCCCCATCTTGGCCTTATTCTATTGTGGTCATGTATTTTACTTCTCTCTCTATATATATATGTAAAAGAAATCCCATGATTAATTGTAGTACTTTTTCCTTTAAGCAGTAACTGTTTTACCAAAAAAAAAAAAAAAAAAAAAAAAAAAGCTTCTTGTTCTTCATTTTTTTTTGTAGATCCAGACTTCTATCTGGTACCTTTTTCCTTGTCCCTGAAGGACTTAATACTTCTTATAGTATAAGTCTGCTGGTGATGAATTCTTTCAGCTTTTGTATTTCTGAAATAGTCTTTATTTCACCTTTCTTTTCTTTTTTTTTTTGAGATGGAGTCTCACTCTGTCACCCAGGCTAGAGTGCAGTGGTGCGATCTCAGCTCACTGCAACCTCTGCCTCCAGGTTCAAGCAATTCCCCTGCCTCAGCCTCCTGAGTAGCTGGGATTACAGGCATGCGCCACCATGCCCGGCTAAGTTTTTATATTTTTAGTAGAGACAGGGTTTCACCATATTGATCAGGCTGGTCTCAAACTCCTGACCTTGTGATCTGCCCACCTCAGCCTCCCAAAGTGCTGGGATTACAGGCATGAGCCACCATACCTGGCTCACCTTTGTTTTCAAGAGATATTTTGGCTGGGTATAGAATTCAAGGTTGATTTTTTGTTTGTTTCAGTACTTTAAAGATGTAACTCCATTGTTTTCACACCTGCATTGTATCTGATGAGAAATATGCTGTCATCCTTTGGTTTCTCTATCTGTAACATGTCTAGTTCCTACTGCCTTTAATATTTCCTCTCAATTTCTGGTTTGAACAATTTTTCAAGTGTTATGTGTCATGATATTATTTTCCTTGTCTTCCTTGTGCTTGAGGTCCATTAGACCTGTTAAGGGCTTATAGTTTTCATCAAATTTGAACATTTTTCAGCCATTATTTTTTCAAATCCTTTTTCTCTCCTCCCCTCTCCTTTGGAGACTCCAATTACACACAAATTAGACTGCTAGAGGTTCTCCCACAGTTTACTGATATGCTATTCATTTTCTTCAGCCTTTTTTCTTTAATTTTGAATAACTTCTGTGCTATGTGTTCAAGTTTACTAATCTTTTATTCCACACTCTCTAATGTGCTGTTGATTCTAACAAGTGTGTTTTTCATATCACACACTAAAGTTTGCATTTTCAGAAATTTGATACTGGTCTTTTTTTTTTTTGAAATGAAGTCTCACTGTGTCACCCAGGCTGGAGTGCAGTGGCACAATCTTGGCTCACTGCAACCTCTGTCTCCTGGGTTCAAGCAATTCTCATGCCTCAGCCTCCCGAGTAGCTGGGATTACAGGTGCCCCCCTGCCCCGACCCCTACACCATACCTAACTTTTGTATTTTTAGTAGAGATGGGGTTTCACCATGTTGGCAAGGCTGGTCTCAAACTCCTGACCTCAAGTGATCCACTTGCCTCAGCCTCCCAAAGTGCTGGGATTACAGGCATGTGCCACCGCACCCAGCCTGATGCCAGTCTTTTCAATCTTTCAATGTTTCAAGCATTCCTCTACTTTCTTGAACATACAGAATATACTTTTAACTAGTTTCAATATCCTTGTCAATTAATTCTATCATGTGTCATTTCCAGGTGTTTGTATTTTTCTCATTGTGGTTGCATTTTTCTGCTTTATTGCATGATTGATAATTTTCAACTGGATACCAGACATTGAATTTCACCTTGTTGGGTGCCAGATATTTTTGCATAATATAATAATATTCTTAAGCTTCGTCCCAGTTTCTCTCAAAACTCACATTTAAGCTTTGTTAGGTAACACCAAAGCAAGCTTAGTCTAGGACTAATTTTCTTCCACTATTAATGCAATGTTCTTCTATTTATTTTTCAGACAGGGTCTCACTCTGTTGCCCAGGCTGGAGTACAGTGGCACAATCACAGATCATTGCAGCCTTGACTTCCCTGAGTTCAGGTGATCCTTCCACCTCAGCCTCCTGAGTAGCTGTGACTACAGGTGCATGCCACCACACCTGGCTAATTTTTGTATTTTTTTGTAGAGAAAGGATTTCACCATGTTGCCCAGGCTGGTCTCCAACTCCCAGGCTCAAGTGATCTGCATGCCTTGGCCTCCCAAAGTGCTAGGATTACAGGTGTGAACCACCGTACCCGGCCTGCAATGTCCCTTTAAATATTCTATCTGACCCCTTTTGAGGTATGAGGTCTTTCCTCTGTAGCTGGCAGGAATAAAATCTTTTCCCAGTCCTTTGCAAAATGCATGAAAAGAAGTGTTTATTCTGCTTCTTTTTGATGTTTACTTCCCTTGCCTGGGTTGTTACCTCACATGTATGTGCTGGTCAACCCTCTGAAGACTTGAGGCGGAAACTCTGCACATCTCCAGTTCTCTCCTCTCCAGAACTCTTCCCTGAAAACTTTATTTCCTTGGGTTGCTGTAGATTCCCAATCCCATCTCAACTCAGGGAGACTCCCCTGTGTTCCACCCAGGTTCCTACCCACTGTACTGAGGCTTGAGAAAATCTCCTTAGATGTTAAGTTTGATGAATTGTAAGGCTCACTTCATATGGTTACCTGAGAGAACAACCACCGTCCTGGAATGCCTGGTGTCCTACTGTCTGAAATTTAATTGTTTCATATTTCTTATTCAATTTTTTTTTTTTTTGAGACGGAGCTTCACTCTTGTCACCTAGACTGGAGTGCAATGGTGCGATCTCGGCTCACCACAACCTCCGCCTCCCGGGTTCAAGTGATTCTCTTGCCTCAGCCTCCTGAGTAGCTGGGATTACAGGCATGCGCCACCTTGCCCAGCTAATTTTGTATTTTTAGTAGAGACGGGGTTTCTCCATGTTGGTCAGGCCGGTCTTGAACTCCTGACTTCAGGTGATCCACCCGCCTTAGCCTCCCAAAGTGCTGGGATTACAGGCACGAGCCACTGCACCCAGCCCCAGATTTTTACTTGTTTCTGTTAAATCTGATCCCTCTTACTCCATTTTGACTAGAAGCCTACTGTTTTATTTGTTGCAGCTATGATTACAAGCCTGTTGTGGAGGAAAGACATGAACTCCTCTATGAATTTAATGAAAGCTACTGACCACATTCCCCTCATAAATGAACATTCCTTGTTATTTTAAATGTAATTTCAGGTAGGTTCATTGGCTCCTGTATCTGGTATGAAGGGCTCATGGATCCGACACTTAGAATTCTTGTTTTTTCTTTTTCTTTTGAATTTTCTTGAGTTGGCTTTCTGTTAATTCTACCCTTCTGTTCCTTTCATTTTAGTATTTAATCACTTTGCTCATCAATTTTGTCCTTTTCTTGTTCCTCAACCATCATGTTTACCTTTTTGTCTTTTTAAGTTTTTTTTTTTTTTTTTGAGACAGGATCTCACTCTGTCCCCCACGCAGGAGTGCAGTGGTACAATCTTGGCTCACAGCAGCCTTGACCTTCCAGGCTGAAGTGATCCTCCCACCTCAGCTTCCCGAGTAGCTGGGAATACAGGCATGCACCACCACATCTGGCTAATTTTTGTATTTTTTGTAGAGACAGGCTTTTGCCATATTGCCCAGGCTGGTCTTGAACTCCTGGGCTCCATCCACCCACCTCAGCCTTCCAAAGTGCTGGGATTATAGGCATGTGGCACCATGTCTAGCCTCATGTTTACTTTTTTTTTCTTTTTTTCCAGACGGAGTTTCGCTCTTGTTGCCCAGGCTGGAGTGCAATGGCGTGATGTCGGCTCACCACAACCTCCACCTCCTGGGTTCAAGCGACTCTCCTGCCTCAGCCTCCCAAGTAGCTGGGATTACAGGCACGTGCCACCAAGCTGGGCTAATTTTGTATTTTTAGTAGAGATGGGGTTTCACTACTTCTTGTATTACACACTGAAGACAAAAAGCAGGGTCATGCAGTAATAACTGTGTAGTCAGCCCATACTTTAAATGGGACACTAGTTACTTTTAAGCAGTAAACCCTGACAATGCCCACCCTTTACCTATAACCAGTCGACCTGCATTGGCATTCCTTGTTCTCCTTTCTACAACCTAAACATTGAAAACTCTAGTCTCAGTAACTCAGATCTTCCTTTAGACAGTGAGTTGTCTGTGTTTGCAATGTTTTATTTATTTATTGTTTTTTTGAGACAGGGTTTCACTTTGTCACCCAGGGTGAAGTGCAGTGATGCAATCACAACTCACTGCGTCCTCAACCTCCCAGGTTCAAGCAATCCTCCTGCCTCAGTCTCCCTAGTAGCTGGGACTACAGGCGGTGCCACCATGCCTGGCTAATTTTTGTATTTTTTGTAGAGACAAAGTTTTGCCATGTTGCCCAGGCTGGTCTCAAACTCCTGAGCTTTAGTGATCTTCCCACTTTGGCTTCCCAAAGTGCCAGGATTACAGGCACGAGAGCTACTGTGCCCAGTCACAACATTTTGAAGCTGTGAAAACAGTGGTTTTCTTCACTCATGTCACCTACAATGTAGGCCAGTGTCGTCCAACAGAAATACAAGCCACATATGTAATTCTAAATTCCCTAATATCCACATTGGCCAGGCTCGGTGGCTTACTCCTATAATCCCAGCACTTTGGAAGGCCGAGGTGAGCAGCAGATCACTTGAAATCAGCAGTTTGAGACAAGACTAGACAACAAAGTGAGACTCCACTTCTACAAAAAAATACAAAAATTAGCCAGGTATGGTGGCATGCACCTGTAGTCCCAGCTACTCAGGAGGCTGAGGTGGGAGGATGGCTTGAGCCTGGGAGGCAGAAGTTCCAGTGAGCTGAAATCAAGCCACTGCACTCCAGCCTGGTTGACAGAGCCAGACCCTGTCTCAAAAAAGAAGCAATATCAAAAAAAAGTAATTGGTGGAATTAATTTTGTTTTACGTAATCCATTATATCTAAAATATAACTATTTCAATGTTACAAACATAAAAATTATTATTGGCTGGGTGCGGTGGCTCATGCCTGTAATCCCAGCACTTTGGGAGGCTGAGGCAGGTAGATCACTTGAGGTCGGGAGTTCGAGACCAGCCTGACCAACGTGGAGAAACCCCGTCTCTACTAAAAATACAAAATTAGCTGGGTGTGGTGGCGCATGCCTGTAATCCCAGCTACTGGGGAGGCTGAGGCAGGACAATCGCTTGAACCCGAGAGGCGGAGGTTGCAGTAAGCCGAGATCATGCCACTGCACTCCAGCCTGGGTGATAGAGCCAGACTCCATCTCAGGAAAAAAAAAAAAAAAAAAAAAAAATATATATATATATATATATATATAATATAACATATAAATATATAATAGAAATACATATAATATATAAATATATATTATGTAATATAATACTAATATAATATAATATAATATAACATATATAAATAGATATATTTGTTGACATGGAGTTTTGTTCTTGTTGCCCAGGCTGGAGTGCAATGGTGTGATCTCAGCTCATTCTGAGCAGCAATTCTGCTGCCTCAGCCTCCCGAGTAGCTGGGATTACAGGCATAAACCACAACGCCTGGCTAATTTCGTATTTTTAGTAGAGACGGGGTTTTACCACGTTGGCCAGGCTGATGTGGAACTCCTGACTTCAGGTGATCCACCCCCCTCGGCCTCCCAAAGTGCTGGGTTACAGCCGTGAGTCACCGTGCCTGGCCAAATGTCTAGTTTAAAAAGTAGACTGTCGTACACAAGTTGTTCCAAACATACTTAAAGGTTTTCTAAACCAAAAAGTACGTTCCTTAGCCTTAGCACATTTTAAGTGCTCAATAGCCACTTATGGTTAGTGACAACTATATTAAACAGCATAGGCATAGGTCCTTTATGAAGAGTTACAGAATACCTCATTTCCGTGGTGATTTTGCTTTATTCCTACACAACACACTAGCACACACACATACATATATATTAAAACATTGCCTAAATCTTTGTAAGCAGATTTCACAACAGGAAGAAGTATGTCAAAATTTCAACTCAGGAATGGACTCAACATACTGATTTTAAAAAACAGTTAAGAGGTATTTAAACCTCAAATACTAATCTCTGAAAAAAGCATAGTTGAAATTCATAGCCAAATTTTTGACATTTCCCTCTCAATAACCTGTCTCCAACAAGTCTATAATCAATTCAATCTATTTATTTTTCTCTAGGCAAAGTCATAAGACCTTTTCCCCCAGGGTATATACATTCCCAATGTCCTTCTTTTTCTAAATCTTATTTATAATACGTAATAACTATAAAAATGCTGTTATAAAATATAGATACCTGCTCATAGAAATACACTTCATGAGGTATAAAAGATGCACAAAGATGTTTACTGTGGCATAATTTGTAATAATGAAAAAGCTGAGCTTCACAAAGAAATGTATTATAAATTATGATTTGTCAACTCAATGGAATACCATGAACAAAGCTTAGAGGGCAACAGGAAATGACTATTGTAGAAAGCATGATTATGGGTGATACATTGTAAAAAACCCTGATTCCTGTCTTAACAATGGAATGGGGAAAAAAAGAAACACCCTAGAGTTAAAACAAGGTAGAAAGATTGGAGTAGAAAGTACTTTTTCTTTTCTTTAGGTGTCTCAAGGAAATTAACAATAAGAGAAGAAAATGAAATGCCCTCACTGACCTTCCCTCCAGCCTTTCCTGCTGCTAATTCCCTGAAACTGAACTCCAGCCAAGACTTCAGAAGGATCCTATACATAAATGGAATCAGGCTTCAGGTTTCCTCAAGAGTGGGTGGGAAAGTTATGTGTGGAAAGGTCTCAACTAGAAGCCAAGAAAAGATCCACTTAGCAAAAAACCATACACCTTTTCAAAAAGAATGACCCAAAAAATTATTTCTAGTCCAAAATTTTGATAAAATTTTTAAAATTCATAAGAGAAAATATGGGACTTCCCAACCCAATATTCAGGCACATGATGTGAATCTCAATAACTGCCTAAAGCAAAGATAGTAACAATGTATTATGGGACTGAGAACTAAAAGTATGACGAAAAGAGTACAAAGAGGGCTGGGCACAGTGGCTCATGCCTGTAATCTCAATACTTTGGGAGGCTGAGGCAGGAGGATCACTTGAGCCCAGGAGATTGAGACCAACCTGGAAAACACAGACCCTATCTCTACACACGCAAAAAAAAAAAAAAACCCAAAAAACAAAACAATTAGCTAGGCATGGTGGTGCATCCCTGTAGTCCTAGCTATAGGGGAGGCCAAGGCAGGAGGATCACTTGAGTCAGGAGTTCAAGGCTGCACTGAGCTATGATTGTGCCATTGCACTCCAGCCTAGGAGACAGAGCAAGATCCTGTCTCTTAAACAAACAACAACAACAACAACAAAAACGCACAATGAAGGGAGGAATTGGAGGTATAAGAGTCTCATAGCATACATGGAGTGTTAAAATACTACTGAAAGCAGACTGGGCACGGTGGCTCATGCCTGTAATCCCAACACTTTGGGAGGCCAAGGTGGGTGTATCATCTGGGGTCAGCAGTTCAAGACCAGCCTAGCCAACATGGTGAAACCCCATCTCTACCAAAAATACAAAAATTAGCTGGGCATGGTGGTGGACACCTGTAATCCCAGCTACTCCAGAGGCTGAGGCAGGAGAATCGTTTGAACCCAGGAGGCAGAAGTTGCAGTGAGTTGGATCGTGCCACTGCACTCCAGCCTGGGCGACAAAAGCAAAACTCCATCTCAAAAACAAAAACAAAAACAAAACAAAACAAAAAAAGCTACTGAAAGTAAACTGTAGTAAGAAAGATGTATACTGTAATCCCTAGGTAATCAAGTAAAAGTCTTTTAAAAAATGGAGTATAGCTAATAAGTTTAACAGTAGATATAAAATGAAATCATAAAAATCATCCAAAGGAAAACAAAAATTTTGAGGAAAAAAAGAGATGGGGATGGGACAAACAAAAAACAAGTAAGGTGATGTAAAGAACCATTAAGTATCCTTAGTTTTACCCTACTTGCAGGCTAAGCAAGCCCCCCTCCCCGCATGGTTTCATGGGTGCTAGTAGAAAACATGTGAAATGTGAGTCAGAGGACAGTTTACTACTCTTATCAAGGACAATATCCAATATATCAGCATTTTCTTACAAGTTCCCCAAATCCTAATTCTCAAAGGCAATGCAAGGATGGCCAAATGATACTCACGTGCAATGGGTTGTGTTATGAGCAGAAAAACCTTGAATTTGAGGAACCAAATTTTTTATGCGATGTCTGCTCCATGCTCTGGTGGTACACGCCTGTAATCCCACCTACTTGGGAGGCTGAGGCAGGAGAATCACTTGAACCTGGGAAGGGGAGGTTGCAGTGAGCTGAGATCACTCCACTGCCCTTCAGCCTAGGCAACACAGCGAAATTCCATCTCAAAAAAATAATAAAAATTTTTTTAAAAAATAAGGCATGTTTTCAATCAGTAACCAAAGCTTCTGCCTTAAGAAACTAGAAAAAGATCAGATTAAACCCAAATAAAGAGATACATAGAAATAATAAAGAACAGAATAGATGAAGAATGAAAGTAAAGATACCTCTACAGATCCTACAGGCATTAAAAGGATAAGGGAATATTGTGAACTACTTTGTGCCAATAAATTTAATAGCTTAGATGAAATGGACAAATCCCTTAAAAAACACAACTCCAGCTCCCCTGGGCTATTCTGGGCACACTGCCTATGGGGTACCTCTGCTCTGCAAGGAGCAATAGAATAAAAACACAACTCTCAAAGTTCACTCAAATGGAAGTAGATAACCTGGATAGTCCTAGATCTATTAAAGTAATTGAATTCATATTTAAAGCCATAAAAACAAACCATGGAGATTGGTAAACTTAGGGGGAGGGAGTTGGAGTATCTGTTTGGAATACAGAGTATTCTTATAGGGTAGTCCTGCGAGATAAGGGTGAAGGGCAGGTTGAAGGCAGATTATAGAAAACATTGAAAGTCATGCTAAGGATTTTAATTTCTATTGCACAGGCAAATGTCGTTTTCACTGTGTGCTCCCAGCACTTTAGGAGGCCGAGGTGGGCGGATCACCTGAGGTCAGGAGTTCGAGATCAACCTGGCCAACATGGCGAAACCCTGTCTGTACTAAAAATACAAAAAATTAGCTGGGCTTGGTGGCAGGCGCCTGTAATCCCAGCTACTTGGGCGACTGAGGCAGAAGAATCGCTTGAACCCGGGAGGCAGAGTTTGCAGTAAGCCAAGATCTCGCCATTGTACTCCAGCCTGGGCAACAAGAGCAAAACTCTTGTCTCAGGAAAAAAAAAAGAGAAATGTACTGCATAATCTTTTATATGTAGACTCTCTAAAAAAGTCAAATACAGATGCTCCTTGACTTATGAAGGGGTCATGTCCTAATAAAGCCATTCTAAATTGAAAATACCATAAATTGAAAATAAGGGCTGGGCACAGTGACTCACTGCTGTAATCCCAGCTACTTGGGAGGTTGAGGCAGGAGAATCGCTTGAGCCCTGGAGGTGGAGGTTGCAGTGAGCCAAGATCGCACCACTGCACTCCAGCCTACATGAAAGAGCAAGACTCCATCTCAAAAAGAAAAAAGAAAATAAGGCCAGGTGTAGTGGCTCATGCGTGTAATCCCAGCACTTTGGGAGGCGAGACAGGTGGATCACTTGAGGTCAGGAGTTTGAGACCAGCGTGGCCAACATGGTGAAACCCTGTCTCTACTAAAACAAAAAATACAAAAATTAACTGGGCATGGTGGCAGGTACCTATAATCCCAACTACTCAAGAGGATGAGGCATGAGAATCGCTTGAACCTGGTAGGCAGAGGTTGCAGTGAGCCACAATGGCACCACTGCACTCCAGCCTGGGTGACAGAGTGAGACTCCATCTGGAAAAAAAAAAAGAAACTTTTGTTTTTTACTTATTATATATTAAACTTACAATGGGTTTATCTGGCTATAGCCCCATAGTAAGTCAAGGAGTGTACTAAATGTATATTATTTTCTCACCATCCGAAAGTTGAAAAATTGTAAGTTAGAGATCATCTGTACATAGAAACAGAGGAGAACAGCAGTTACCAGGGGCAGGGAAGGGGAGAAATGGGGAATGGTAGATTAAAGGGCAAAAACTGGCAGTTGTGTACGATGAGCAGGCCTAGAGACCTAATGGGCAGCATGAGGAAAACGGTTAATAATACTGTATTACATATGAAAAATTTGCTAAGACCGTAGATTTTAAGTGCTCTTACCAGACAAAAAAACAGGTAACTATGGAAGGTGACAGGTTAATTTGCCTGACTGTAGTAATTATTTCAGTGTTGTATACCTTATAGACAACTTAAAAAAGAAAATCCCAAGCAATCTACAAAAAAACACCTACTACAACAAAGAACTGAGTTTAGTAAGGTCATAGGATACAAGGTCAATAAAAACAATTGGAAGTCAAAATTATAAAAACAGTACCATTTACAGTGGCATCAAAAATATAAAACAGCCAGGTACAGTGGCTCATGCCTGCAATCCCAACAGTTTGGGAGGCCAAGGCAGGGCAATCACTTGAGCCCAGAAGTTTGAGACCAGCCTGGGCAACATGGTGAAATCCTTCCTCTACTAAAAATACAAAAAATTAGCTGGGCATGGTGGCATGCAGCTGTAGTCCCAGCTACTTGGGAGGCTGAGGTGGGAGAATCACCTGAGCCTGAGAAGTCAAGGCTGCAGTGCGCCATGACCCCACCTCTGCACTCCAGCCTGGTCAACAAGAGTGACACTGTCTCAAAAAAAGAAAAAAAGAGAAATACTCGTGAAGGGATAAACCTAACAAAATGTGGTAAAGCTGAAAACTACAAAATACTGATGAGAGAAACAGAAGAAAAATCCAAATAAATGGGGAGATATACCATATTCACCACTGGAAGACAATATTGTTTTTCATTTGTTTGCTTTGAGACAGATTTTCGCTCTTGTTGCCCAGGCTGGAGTGCAGTAGCTCGATTTCGGCTCACTGCAACCTCCACTTCCCAGGTTCAAGCAATTCTCCTGTCTCAGCCTCCCGAGTAGCTGGGATTACAGGCACACACCACCACCACCACGCCTGACTAATTTTTTTGTATTTTTAGTAGAGATGGGGTTTCACCATGTTGGCCAGGCTGGTCTTGAACTCCTGACCTCAGGTGATCCACCCGCCTCGGCCTCCCAAAGTGCTGGGATTACAGGCATGAGCCACTGCACCCAGCCAACAATATTGTTAGGATGACAATTTACCCCAAAATGCTTAATAGAGTTAATCAATCTCAACCAAAATCCCAGGTTGTTGTTTTTTTTAAAGAAATCAATAAACTGATTCTAAAATCTAAATGGAAAGGTAAAGACCCTAGAATAGCCAAAATACTTTGAAAAGGAAGAACACAATTGGAGGATTCAAATTACCCGAGGCCAAAGTTTACTACAAAGCTAAAGTAATCAAGACAATGTGGTATCATTAAAACAACAGACCTATAGGTCAACGAAACAATAAGAGAATTCAGAAAAATACCCACATATATGGTCAATTGGTTTTGAAAAAAGGTACTAAGGCAATTCATTGAAAACCAATAGCCTTAAACAAATGGTTCTTGAATAACTGATCATCCATATGAAAAAAAATGAACCATAATCCATAACTCACACCATTATTTTAAAAATTAACCCAAAATATATCATAAATGTAAAAATATAAGAATTTTAAAAGAGGCCAGGTGTGGTGGCTCACGCCTGTAATCTTAGCATTTTGGGAGGCCAATGCGGGCGGATTGCCTGAGCTTAGGAGTTTGAGAGTAGCCTGGGCAACATGGTAAAACTCCGTCTCTACTAAAATATAAAAAGTTAGCCAGGTGTGGCAGCGTGTACCTGTAGTCCCAGCTACTCGGGAGGCTGAGGCAGGAGAATTGCTTGAACCAGGGAGGTGGAAGTTGCAGTGAGCTGAAATTGTGCCACTGCACTCCAGCCTGGGCGACAGACCAAGACTCTGTCTCCAAAAATAAATAAATAAATAAATAAATAAATAAATAAATAAATACAAACATAAAACTTGTGTTCTTTTTTTTTTGAGACAGGTTCTCACTCTGTTTCTAAGGCTGGAGTGCAGTGGCATGATCTCAGCTCACTGTAGCCTCGACTTTCCAGGTTCAAATGATCTCCCACCTCAGCCCCCCAGACTTCAGTCCCCCAGGTAGCTGGGACTACAGGTGTGCACCACCATGCCCAGCCAGCTAAATTTTGTAGAGATGGGGTTTCACCATGTTGTCCAGGCTAAAACTTGTGTTCTTTAAAGATATTATAGAGAAATGAAGACAAGCCACAGACCAGCAGAAAATATTTGCAAAACACTTGATAAGGAACTTTTCATCCAGAAGAACCCTCCCAACACACACATAAAAAAGGAAATCAAACAACCCAATTTTTAAAAATCAGCAAAAAGTCTTAAGAGATACTTCACCAAAGAAATATGTGATATCAAATAAGCACATGAAAAGACACACAAAATCATTTGTCACAGGAAAATGACAATTAAAACAATGAGATACTGCTATTCATCTATTAGCATGGAGAAAAAAACAAAAACAAAAAATAAATCTGACAATACCAAGTGTTGGTGAGGATACAGAGCAACTAGAACTTTTTTTTTTTTTTTTTTTGGAGACGGAGTCTCACTTTGTTGCCAGGTTAAGTGCAGTGGCATGATCTCGGCTCACTGAAACCTCTGCCTCCCAGGTTCAAGTGATTCTCCTGCCTCAGCCTCCCAAGCCAAGTAGCTGGGACTACAGGTACATGCCACCACACCCAGCTAATTTTTAGTAGAGACGGGGTTTCAATGTGTTAGCCAGGTGGTCTCGATCTCCTGACCTCATGATCCGCCCATCTTGGCCTCACAAAGTGCTGGGATTACCGGTGTGAGCCATGGTGCCTAGCCGCAACCAGAACTCTTAAACATTGCTAGTGGGCATGCAAAATGGTGCCACCACTTTCAAAAACAGTCTGAGAACCTCTCACAAAGTTAAACACAACTAATCATTTGACCTAACCATCACATTCCTAGATATTCATCCAAAAAAGTTCAAATGTTTACAAAAGGCCTACACATAAATTTTACTTTATGCAAAATTGCCCTAAGCTGTAAACATCCTTAATGTCAACTTCTTTTTTTTTTTTTTTTTGAGATGGAGTCTTGCTCTGTTGCCCCCAGGCTGGAGTGCAGTGGCACGATCTTAGCTCACTGCAACCACCGCCTCCCCAGTTCAAGCGATTCTCCTGCCTCAGCCTCCCAAGTAGCTGGGATTACAGCCACCCACCACCACGTCCAGCTATTTTTTTTTTTTTTTTTAGTTGAGACAGGGTTTCACCATGTTGGCCAGGCTGGTTTTGAACTCCTGACCTCAAGTGATCCACCTGCCTTGGCCTCCTAGAATGTGCTAGGATTTACAGGTATGAGCCACAGTGCCCAGCCTAATGTCAACTATTAATACTTAATCAACAAAAGTACATCCATACAAAGAAATATTAATCAGTAACTAAATGGAACAAACTATTGATACATGCAAGAAATTAATAAATCTCAAAAGCATTGTATGGGCCGAGCGTGGTGGCTCATGCCTATAATCCCAGCACTTTGGAAGGCTGAGGCTGAGGCAGGTGGATCACTAGAGGTCAAGATTTCAAGACCAGCCTGGCCAACATGGTGAAACCCCCATCTTTACTAAAAATACAAAAATCAGCCTGATGTGGTGGCATGTGCCTGTGATCCTAGCTCCTCAGGAGGCTGAGGCAGGAGAATTGCTTGAACCTGGGAGACGGAGGTTTCAGTGAGCCGAGACTGCATCACTGCACTCCAGCCTGGGAAACAGAGTGAGACTCTGTCAAAAAAAAAAAAAATTGTATGAAGGAAGCTAGATACAAAAGGTTACATATTATAAGATTTCATTTATAAAATTTGGAAAAATATAATACTATAGAGTCGGAAATCACGTCAGTGGTTACTAGGAGCTGTGGGTGAGTGAGACAGGTTGACTGTAAAGGGGCCTAGGGCAACATTTGAGATCATAGAAATATTGTATATTTTGACTGTGGTAACGGTTACATGACTGTATACACTTGTCAGAAATCATCAAAGTATACAGGTAAAAAGCATGAGTTTTGGTACCTATAAATTATACCTTAATAAGCTTGCCTAAATAAACAAAACTGATCCTCAAAATTGTAATTTCTTATCTTGCTCTATGTGGAACAGAAGTTTGAGTTTACCTTTTCCCCACACATATTCCTAGATAAATCATTTAAACTATAAATCATTTTCATTTTTGGGGCCTGATAAGGCACTTTATATGTACTATCTCATTACGTTATTCCAACAGCTCTATGAAACTGAGGTTGAGAGGTATGGGTAGTTATAAAGTTGGGATTTAAACCCAGGTATGTTGGACTGGGTTTAAATGTCTCAATGTCATCTTTCCCTCTGTACTGTACTGTACCACCAAATCTCCAAAGACAGACTGAATTTTATGTTCTTCATTGTGCCTAGCATATAATAATATCCAATAAAAGCCAACAATGGTGAGAACTAAAATATATCCACAAAAACTGAGTCCCCTATCAAGTTCAGAATCTAAAGAAGTTGGCTTTTCTAAAGAAAATACTCCGTCACCCATTCCATTCCTACTGTCTACCATATCTCTGATTTAGCAATCAGTTCATCAGGAAGAAGTATTCATTTGTTCTTTCTTCCCAGTTCCCCTCTGCAATTTCCCTGCCCAGCAAAACACCTTTATCTCAGGATGGCCCTGGGGACACAGCTAATCTCTTAGCACTCCAGAGATAGCAGTTTCTATGGACATGAAATGAAAATCCAGATCATCTTTCCCAGGAATTCTTTTTTTTTTTGAGACGGAGTCTTGCTCTGTCACCCAGGCTGGAGTGCAATGGTGGCGTGATCTCGGCTCACGGCAACCTCTGCCTCCTGGGTTCAAGCGATTCTCCTGCCTCAGCCTCCTGAGTAGCTGGGATTACAGGTGCCCACCACCATGCCCAGCTAATTTTTGTATTTTTAGTAGAGACGGGGTTTCACCATGTTGGTCAGGCTGGTCTGGAACTCCTGACCTCGTGATCCGCTTGCCCCAGCCTCCCAAAGTGCTGGGATTATAGGCGTGAGCCATTGTGTCTGGCCGAATTATTTTCTTAATTAGAGGAGGGAGTAATATTCACTGGTTTACTGAGTAAAATCAGTTGCATCACTTCTTCATTTGTATTCCCCCATACAGTCCAAGATTATCACTTCAACTGCCAACTTTTTCAAGGATTTAGCATTTAACAATTCTTCATTGGACACATGATCCCCTTCTAAGATTAAAAGGTACTGAAGAGAGGGACTCCTGGTCTGAAGCTGTAATAGTTATAATGCATTAGTCTGTAAGTAACACAATTCAACCCAAGCTGGTTTAAACAACAGGAAAATTTATTATCTTGCATAATAAGTTTGTTGTTAAGGCAGTTCCGGTATTGATTAATTCAGTGGTTTAATAGTCACTAAAGAATAGGGTTGTTTTTTTTTTTTTTCTACTCCAGCATCCTTAGGATGTTGGCAATTCTTTCATACTAGCATCACAATGAGCCTTTCAGGTTTGTTTTTTTTTTTTTTTTTTGAGACAGAGTCTCACTCTGTCACCCAGGCTGGAGTACAGTAGAGCAATGTTAGCTCACTGCAACCTCTGCCTCCTGGGTTCAAGCGATTCTCCTGCCTCAGCCTCCCGAGTAACTGAGACTACAGGCGTGCACCACCATGCCCGGCTAATTTTTTACGGTTTTAGTAGAGATGGAGTTTCACCATGTTAGGCTGGTCTCGAACTCCTGATCTCAGATGATCCACCCACCTCAGCCTCCCAAAGTGCTAGGATTACAGGCGTGAGCCATGGCCCCTGATTGAGACTTTCATTTTTATTAAAACTGCTGCCTGATGGTTGGCTGGTATAAGGAAAACAATTTTCTCATATGTTCTTTAGAAGGCAATTTAGAAGTACCTACAGAATTTTTTTAAATGTACATATCCTTTGATTTAGCAATTCCACTTGCAACAATTCATCTCACAGAAACATGTAAATAGACACAAACAGATATAAAGATGTACATTACAAAAACTCTTTGTAACAGCAAGAAATTGGAAAGACCCTAGAATATCCATAAATAAGGGGCTGATTACTTAAATTGGGAGAGCATACAATGGAGAATGTCACAGCTATTTAACATGGAATTATGTCCAAGTTTTACTGGCAAGAGCCAAGCTGCAGAGAGTATGTGCGTATAGAGTAAAAATGTGGGGAGTGACATCCAGCAAGATGGCAGAATAGGAAGTCTCAGACTCCAGTCCCTGACACCTCCAGAAAGTTCAACTAGCAACTATCCACAGACTAGAATATCTTTTTGAAAACCCCAATATTTGGAAACAAGCCTAAAACACATGTGTGGTCCAAAGGACTGATTGAAAATTGAATTAGAGGGGTAGGGAGATACAGTCTCACTTTGACCATGCCACCCCTTCCCCAAGCTAGCACATCACCAGGGGGAGAGAATTTCCTTGGGCCCATGGTTTCTACAGGAGAAAAGAGGGCTGAAGGCAGTCACACCGCTTCCCTAGCATTCTGAAGTGCTTCTCAGGAAGTCCAACCTAGTCCTACCTCAAAAGGAACAGTGGGGATAACGACACAGCTAGACTGCCTGTTCAGGGCTGTGGCAGGAGAATCACTTGACCCCAGGAGGTCGAGGCTGCAGTGAGCCAAGGTGGTGCCACTGCACTTCAGCCTGAGTGACAAAGTGAGACCCTGTATCAAAAAAAAAAGAAAAGAAAAAATGTATAATATTGCTAATCATTAGGGAAACATAAATTTAAACCACAATGAGATATCATCTCACACTTGCCAGAATGGCTATTATCAAAAAAAGGTTAAGTGTTGCAGAAGATGTGGGGAAAACAGAAAACGTATGTATAATTGGTGGTAATGTAAATTAGAATAGCCATTATGAAAAACTGTATGGAGATCTGAAATCAGTTTGTCAAAGACATATCAACACTCCCATGTTTATCGCAACACTATTCACAATAGCCAAGTGATGGAATCAACCTAAGTGCTCATCAACAGAGGAATCAATGGCTGGTGCAGTGGCTCACACCTGTAATCCCAACATTTTGGGAGGCCAAGGCAGGAGGATGGCTTGATCCCAGGAGTTTGCAGGACCAGTCTGGGCAACATGGCAAAACCCTGTCTCTATAAAAAATACAAAAAGAAAATTAGCCAGGTGTGGTGTACACACCTGTAGTCCCAGCTACTCAGAAGGCTGAGGTGGAAGGAACATCTGAGCCCAGGAGTTTGAGGCTGCAGTTAGCCGTAGTCATGCCACTGCACTACAGCCTTGGCAACAGAGTAAGACCCTGTCTCAAACAAGCAAACAAACAACAGAGGAATGGATAAAGAAAATGTGTTATATATAGATGATGAAATAATACTCAGCCTTAAAAAAGGAAATTCTGCCATTTGAAACAATGTGAAGGAATTGGAGAACATTATGCAAGAAAAAATAAGCCAGGCACAGGAAGACAAATTCTCACAAGTGAAATTTAAAACCATTGAACTCATAGAGGCTGAGAACAGTGGTTTCAAAGGCTGGAGAGTGAGCAGAATGGTGTGGTAACAGTAAATGGGTACAAAATCTCAGTTAAGCCAGGCACAGTGGGCAATATAGTGAGAACTGGTCTCTTTAAAAAGATGTCAGACGGCTGTGTGCAGTGGTTCAGGCCTATAATCCCAGCACTTTGGAAGGCCGAGGCGGGGTGATTACTTGAGGTCAGGGCTTTGAGACCAGTCTGGCCAACACGGCAAAACCCTGTCTCTACTAAAATTACAAAAATTAGCTGGATGTGGTGGTGCACACCTGTAATCCCAGCTACTCGGGAGGCTGAGGCAGGACAATCACTTGAACACGGGAGGCGGAGGTTGCAGTGAGCTGAGATTGCACCACTGCACTCCAGCCTGGGTGACAGAGTGAGACTCTGTCTCAAACAAACAAACAAAAGATATGAGACAGAGAAATAAGAAGTAAGTCTCTGATACCTATCATACATCATTACAAATGTAGTTCATAACAGTGTATCGAACATTTCAAAATTGCTAACTTTCGAATGTTCTCACCATAAAAAAAGGTGTTTGAAGTGATGAATATGTTAATTAGCTTGATTTAATTATTTTACATTGTAGTCATAAATGTAACATCACTTTGTGCTCCATAAATAAGTACTATTTTAAGGCCGGATGCGACGGCTCATGCCTGTAATCCCAGCACTTTCGGAGGCTGAGGCGGGCAGATCACTTGAGGTTAGGAGTTTGAAACCAGCCTGGCCAACGTGGCAAAACCCCATCTCTAATAAAAATATGAAAATTAGTTGGGCGTGGTGGTGGGCGCCTGTAATCCCAGCTACTAGGGAGGCTGAGACATGAGAATTGCTTGAACCCAAGGGGTGGCGGTTGCAGTGAGCAGAGATCGTGCCACTGCACTCCAGTCTGGGCAAGAGCGAGACTCTGTCTCAAAAAAAAAAAAAAAAAAGTACTATTATAAACTGTCTACTTATAACAAAAACTACAGTTTGAGTATCCTTTACCCAAAATGTTTTGGACCAGAAGTGTTTCAGACTGCAGGTTTTTTCAGATTTTGAAATATTTGCATTATACTTACCCATTAATCATGCCAAATCTGAAAATCCAAAATCCAAAATTCTCCAATGAGCATTTCCTTTGAGTGTCATGTCGGCTCTCAAAAAAACTTCAGATTTTGGAGCATGTCAGATTTTGGATTTGGGATACTCAACTGTAAAAACAAGAAAAAAAGAAAAACCCTCTCCAAAGTAAAAATACCTAAGACACCAAAAAGGCAATAGAGGTAAAAATAGATAAAATGAACATCAAAATTAAAAAACTTCTTTGCATCAAAGGACCCAATCAATGGAGGGAAAAAAGGCAATCTATGGAATGGGAGAAAACATCACATATCTGATAAGAGGTTAATATCCCAAATATACAAAGAACTCCTACAACTCAACAACTAAAAGCGAAATAACCTGTTTTAAAATGGGCAAAGGATTTGAATAGGCACTTCTCCATCTGAATAGCCAATAAACATGAAAAGATACTTAACATCAATTAATTGTTAGGGAAATACAAATCAAAACCACAATGATACCATTTCATACCCATTAGAATGGTGGCTATCAAAACAACCAGGAAAGTGTCAGCAAAAATATGGTGAAACTGGAACCCTTATCCACTGCTAGTGAAAATGTGAAATGGTGAAACTGCTATGAAAAATAATAGGGCAGTTCCTCAAAAATTTAAAAACAAAATTAGCATATGATCTAGCAATTCTACTTCTAGGTATATATCCAAAAGAACTGAAAGCATGTTCTCAAAGAGAAGTTTGTATACCCATGGTCATAGCAATATTATTCACTATAGGCAAAGATGGAAGCAACCCAGATGGTGCATCAATGGACGAATAAACAAAATGTGAAATGTGGATACAATGGAATATTATTCAGCCTTAAAAAGAAAGAAAGAGGCTGGGCATGGTGGCTCACGCCTGTAATCCCAGCACTTGGAAGGCTGAGGCGGGTGGATCACTTGAGGCCAGGAGTTCCAAGACCAGCCTGGCTAACACAGTGAAACCTTGCCTCTACTAAATGTATGAAAAAATTAGCCAGGCATGGTGGCACACACCTGTAGTCCAAGCTACACAGGAGGCTGAGGCATGAGAATCACTTGAACCTGGGAGGTGGAAGTTGCAGTGAACCGAGATCGCATCACTGCGCTCCAGCCTGGGTGACGGAGCGAGACTCTGTCTTCATCCCATGGTCCCCCAAAAAAACGGAAAAAAAAATTCTGACGTTTTCTATAACATGAATGAAGCTTGAGGACATTATGCTAAATAAAATAAGCCAGTCACAAAGAGACAAATACTGCGTGATCCTATTATATTAAGTACTTAGAACAGAAAAAATCAGAGAAAGGAAGAATGGTGATTGCCAGGGGATTAGGGAAAATGTAGAGTTAATAGGTACAGAGTTTCAGTCCTGCAAGATGAAAAGTTCTGGCGATTGGTTGCACAATGTGAATATACTTAACACTACTGAACTGTACACTTAAAAACGGTTAAGATGGTAAATATATGTGTACTTTACCACAATTCAAAACAATTTTTTATTCTTTTGAGTCAGGGTCTCACTGTCACCCAGGCTGGAATGCAGTGGCATAAACGTAGCTCACTGTAGCCTCTATCAACCTCCTAGGCACAAGTAATCCTCCTGCCTCAACCTCTGAAGTAGCTGGGACCACAGCCCTAACTGGCTTTTTTAAAATTTATTTTTTATAGAAATGGGGTTTCACAGGCCAGGCGCAGTGGCTCACACCTGTAATCCCAGCACTTTTTAGGAGGCCGAGGCAGTGGACCACCTGAGGTTGGGAGTTCGAGACCAGCCTGACCAACATGGAGAAACCCCATCTCTACTAAAATTACAAAAAAATTTAGCCAGGCATGGTGGTGCATGCCTGTAATCCCAGCTACTTGGGAGGCTGAGGCAGGAGAATTGCTTGAACCCTGGAGGTGGAGGTTGTGGTGAGCCGAGATCATGCCATTGCACTCCAGCCTGGGCAAAGAGAGCGAAACTCCGTCTCAAAAATAAAAAAAAAGAAAAAAAGAAATGGGGTCTCACCATGTTGCCTAGGCTGGTCTCGAACTCCTAAACTCATGTGATCCTCCTGCCTCAGCCTCCCAAAGTGCTGGAATTACAGGTGTAAGCCACTGCACTCAACGTAAAACTAATTTTTTAAAAAAGGAATAAAATACCAAAATGATAAACAAAACAACCTATACCTATTAGTATGAAGTTTAGAAGGATAAGTATCTAACTCTTAACAGTGCTCATCTAAGGAGAATACTAGTAGGAAAAGGAGCAATTTTTTTTCTATTTCTATATACTGTTTGGATTTTGATCATAAAAATGTACTAAGCTAATACTTTTAAATTTTTAATAATTCCATTGGATATAACTTTTAAGTTCATCTCCAGGTACTAATAGACTTAAGTTCTCAAGCTACCTTAAAAATAAAGTTTTGCTGAGCGCAGTGGCTCACACCTGTAATCCCAGCACTTTGGGAGGCCAAAGCAGGAGGATTGCTTGACCTCAGGAGTTTGAGACTAGCCTGGGCAACAAGGTGCGATCCCATCTTTACAAAAAAAAAAATTAAAAATTATACCTAGATGTAGCTTCTCTACTCCCTCTCAAATCTCTGCCTGGTTTGGACCATCTGCCTCCACTCTTGCCTCTACCATGTTCATCAGGGTGACCCAGAAGTCCTACAAGGTATCCACCTCTGGTCCCTGGGTCTTCAGCAGCTGCTTCTAAATGAATAGGCCCAATGCTGCATTAGCTCCTCAAGGCTCTCCCAAGTGGGTAGCAGCAGTGCTTCTGGGGTGGCCTGGGTCTGAGTGGAGGCTATAGCAGGGCCAGTGGTAATGGGCAGCATCACAGCCATCATGATGAACCAGAGCCTGCTGAGCCCCCTTAAGCTGGAGGTGTAACCGAACATCCAGGCCATGTGTACCCAGGAGAAAGAGCAGATCAAGACTCTTAACAATAAGTTTGCCTCCATCACTGACACGATACAGCTCCTGGAGCAGCAGAACAAGATGCTGCAGAGCAAGTGTAGCCTCCAGTAGCAGCAGAAGACGGCACAGAGCAACATGGACAACATGCTCGAGAGCTACATCAACAACCTTCAGCAGCAGCTGTACATTCTGGGCCAGGAGCAGCTGAAGCTGGAGGCAGAGCTTGGCAACATGGAGGGGCTGCTGGAGGACTTCAAGAATAAGCATGAGGATGAGATCAATAAGTGTACAGAGATGGACAATGCATTTGTCTTCATCAAGAAGTTTACGGACAAAGCTTACATGAAGAATGTAGAGCTGGAGTCTTGCATGGAAGGGCTGATTGACGAGATCAATTTCATCAGGCAGCTGTATGAAGAGGAGATCCAGGAGCTGCAGTCCTAGATCTTGGACACATCTGTGGTCCTGTCCATGGACAACAGCCACTCCACGGACACAGACAGCATCACCACTGAGGTCAAGGACCAGTACGAGATTGCCAACCACAGCTGGGCCAGGCTGAGAACACACACCAGATCAAGTACGAGGAACTGCAGACACTGGCTGGGAAGCATGAAGATGATGTGTCGCACAAAGACAAAAATCTCTGAAATGAACCAGAACATCAGCTGGCTCCAGGCTGAGACTGAGAGCCTCAAAGGCCAGAAGACTTCCCTGGAGGCTGCCATCACGAATGCCAAGCAGCGTGGGAGCCGCCATTAAGGACAGCAATGCGGCTGGCTGCAGTGGCTCACCTCTGTTAATCCCAGTACCTTGGGAGGCCGAGGCAGATGGATTGTTTGAGGCCAGGAGTTCGAGACCAGCCTGGGCAACACAGCAAAGTCCTCTAACAAAAATACAAAAATTAGCTAGTCTTATAACCCAGTCTCAAAAAAATAAATAAAAATTTAAAAATAATTTTTTTTTTTAAAAGACACCACCCCCAAGCAGGCATACTAGGAGCTGAGGAATGTCAAGCTGGCCCTGGACACAGAGGTTGCCACCTACATGAAGCTGCTGGAGGGCAACAAGAACAGGCTGGAGTCTGGGATGCCGAACATAAGTATATATATAAAGACCACCAATGGCTGCTCAGGTGCACTGAGCTTGGCCTATGGGGCCTCACAAGCCCTGGCCTCATCTATGGCTAGGCTCCAGCTTTGGCTCTGGCAGGGGCTCTAGCTCCTTCAGCCGCACCAGCTTCTCCAGGGTTCCTCCAGGTGCCGTAGTTGTAAAGAAAATAGAGACGCGAGATGGGAAGCTGGTGTCCAAGTCCTCTGATGTCCTGCCCAAGTAAATGGCCATGGCAGCCCCTCCCAGCCCATCCCTTCCTGTGGATGCCCCAGAGCCTGTGGAAGAGGCCACTGTGCAGGGGAGCATAGGGAACAGAAGTGAACATAGCCTCACCTAAGAGAGGCTCAGTCCTAGCTCTCAGCCCACTCATGGAGGGAGTTTATTGCCTGGGGTACCCCCCTGGCCCATGACTCCAGCTATAAAACAATTTGTTTTTTGTTTTTTCCAAAATAAAGCCTCAACTACCTCTGCCATTAAAAAAAACAAAAAACAAAAAAACTGCCAGGCTTGGTGGTGTGTGCCTGTGGTCCCAGCTACTCGGGGCGCTTAAGTGGGAGAATCACTTGAGCCCAGGAGGTCAAGGTCACAGTGAACTGTGATTGTGCCATTGCACTCCAGCCTGGGCAACAGAGCAAGACTCTGTCTCAACAATAAAGTTCTAACAAGCAATTCCTCACAAAAGCATGAATGAGTAGATAGTTTAGTTAAGGAAAATGCCTGTGTTATCCAGTTAACCTGAGATGCTATTAGGCTTACCCCACCATGACACTTCCCAGCCCATAATGCCTTAATCCAAATTAGAGGTACACTCTCTAATCCTGAAACTGTTGACAAGTGTGATATGGCAAGAGCTGGCACCCCAAAGCACAATATCCTATGATTTTCAAACTTTTCCTTCTGCCTACCTGCTACTAATTGAACAGCAGGCCCACATCACCACTTTTCTTTCAGAGCCTGATTCTCTATTCCTCCCACCCCCTGCTTCAAGAATGCTATGAGGGTTAGGGGTGTCTATCAAGACCCCCTCAGCAACCAACAGCCATTCCAGAAAAGCTGACATAACCCAGGGCTGCCAACAAGAGCAGCTTCCCAGCAGGATGTTTTAGTAACCTTAACGAGGCAGAGAGCAACGCCTCTCGTAAATTCTGGTTGGAAGAAACAATCTAGAGATGGTGGAAAAGTACAACTTAAAAAGCAAACACCACAGGCTCCAGTAGAGCAGGAAAGCAAGCAGAGATTTCTAAATACAGAGCTCAATTGTAAGAGTTCACTGTACCTTAATTCTCACTATCATCATTTGCTCTGTCAAAAATAGAACCTTCCATGTCTTGATCCATTCAGAATAAGCCACAGCAGGCACAGCTCTGCTTCCACAGGGCAGCCAGGTCAGAAAGGCCACACAGGGAAATGGAAAAGGCAGCCAGCAGGTTTTCTTAGAGATTATACTCCTCTGGGCTTTTATCCTTCTTCCCAGCTATTCTGGTGCCAAGAAAGCTGCAGGGAGGTCTTTGCTCTGCTCTGAAAAAGCTTCAATTCAATCTTCTCACCAGCAGGGCTGAAGCAGTCTCAGGGCTGTAACTCCCTCTGCTGCCCAATGTTTTCTTTGCATGTTGTGATCAGTTTAATTAATTTCAAACTCAAATGTTAAAAGAACTAATGCAGCCCTTTATTTCAAAACATAATCAAAAGAGCATGAGTTCAGACAGGAGGAATATAGATGGAATGCATGGTTCAAAGCTGGATACACTTCTGCATTCACCTACAAATCTCCTCTATCTCGGAAAGGATTTCTTTTATTCAGTTTCATGAAAAGTCTCCTTCACAGGCATGTAGAAAAGCAGGAGCCAGACTTCTTGGTCCTTCCTCACCCGTCCTTAATAACAACATGGCCTTTAGCAGAACTTAAGGCAGGCCTTATTCATCTTTCAAGATCCAATTTAAATAGCACTTAGAATGAGGCATTAAAACCACCTGCTTACCTGTCTGTTTCACTGTATTGATTCAACAGTGTCTAGCTAACAGCAGATGCTCACTATCTAACAGGATTCTAACTAGAACCATGTGCGATACTGGGGGAAGGGAAACCTGTCCATATAAGAATTCAACCAGCAATCACTGGGGGAAGAACCAAAATTCTTAAGAGATAAGAATAAGAGACAGGTGTATTTCTCCAACATACCATTATTCTGCCTAACAATTTGCCTACCAGCTATGCTTGTGGTCCTTTTCAGATTACCAATCTCAGTCTCTTTCCTGTAAACTCTTAACTGATTTTTAATGTACTTGAAAGGCACTTCATTCTTTCCCTATATCCAAATACTTCTCACATTCTGATCTTAGCGATAAAATTCACAAAGACCTCACAGTGACTCAATGAGAGTGTTGAGCAATACTGACCCCATTAAATAATGTACCCAACATATTTAGGTTAGAAACTCTGGTATTCCAGCATCCAGAACTACAAGTGATGAAGACTTTTGTTAGTGCAATAACTCTTATTTATTTTTCTGAACCCTCCCCTTCTCCACCTCCCAATACTGGAAGCTTACCCATCAGGCAGAATTCCTAATCTGCCTCAAAATCTACAGGTCCAAGCTCTGCGAATACCAAGTGCTCAAGGCAACTGCGACCCTTCAGAAAACTAAATACCAGCAACGAATGGTGTTACTGTGTAAAAAGTTTCTACTGCTGAATAGTAAGAAGCAATGTAAATTTTTTAATACAAACAATCCCATAGTATTTATTGCCATCTTGTAGTAACACGAGGGTAATCAAAACAATATGAATAAATGTTCACATTGGACAAAGGACATCTAAAAACAAACTGTATCCTTCTCAACAATTTCTCACTTCATTGATCATTTCTAGTTGGAGACACTTTGTAGCAGAGTAATATTATCTCCTTTTAGCATGATCCGACCTGCAACACAAAAACAACAAAAAGCTATTAATAGCCACACACTCAGATGTTTTACTCTCAGAATTTTGTATCCAGTTTTTGAACAATATTTTGAAAATGCTTTCTTATAAAAATATGTGAACATTTTCAAGTGTCCATATAGTGAAAGGCTTTCTGGCTCCATTAGAATACATTTATCTTTTCAAGAGACTAACATAGGTAGATGACATTTCATGACAAATATCATTTCTATGGACTAAGTCAACTCAATAGGCCTCATACAACATTTCCCAATGCTGAATTTGTAATAAAAGTTTGGAAATGAGTCGTATGTCAAGTTTGGGAAATACAGCATATTATAACTCCATTCTTAAAGCTGTTAGTATATTAAAGACTCCACCCTATCTCTACTAAAAATACAAAATTAGCAGAGCCTGGTGGCGCGTGCCTGTAATCCCAGCTACTTGGGAGGCTGAGGCAGGAGAATTGCTTGAATCCGGGAGGCGGAGGTTGCAGTGAGCCAAGATGGCACCATTGCACTCCAGCCTGGGCAACAAGAGCAAAATTCATCTCCAAAAAAAAAAAAAAAAAAAAAAAAAAAAAAAAAAGACTCCATCCTACAATAAACAAACCTGTTTTACCCAAAATTTCCTAAGGTTATTTAAGACAATACTTTTCTGAGAAATTTATAAACATCTTCAGGAACACTGGTGTTCACTGGTAGAACGGTTTGAGACACGTTGATCAACTCCAACAGTAATTAAACTGTTCTACTTTCCCAGGCTTCTGCAGGTATTAATAACATTCTATTCTACAGGATAAATACTACCATGGGAATTCAACAGTTGGTAAATAATTTATGAATAATATGACCTCAGTAAGGCTAAGCTTGCCCGTCCTGGCAAGACATCTTTAAATCTAAAAAACCCGGCTGGGTATGGTGGCTCACACCTATAATCCCAGCACTTTGGGAGGCCAAGGTGGGTGGAATGCCTGAGCTTAGGATTCGAGACCAGCCTGGACAACACGGTGACACCCCGTCTTCTACTAAAATACAAAAAATTAGCCAGGTGTGGTGGCATGCCCTGTAATCCCAGTTACTTGGGAGGCTGAGGCAGGAGAATCGCTTGAACCCAGGAGGTGGAGGTTGCAGTGAGCTGAGATTGTGCCATGGCACTCAAGCCTGGGAGACAGAGTGAGACTCCGTCTCCAAAAAAATAAATAAATAAATAACAATAAATCTAAAAAACCCAGGCTTTCATAAAAATAGTCTAAGCAGGAAGCAGCCAGCGAAACACCATACTGCTTCTCAGAATCTACTTTCCATATATCTAGTTCAGGTTGAAGAGAATCCTGAGGGTCTGAAAGAGAGACACCTGAAACCCACCACTGATAAAAGTATTAGTGAGCATTTAACAAATAAAGACAAAATGCCTAAATAAACCTCAAGTGAATGGGATGTTAACAGAAATGATTCAGTGTGTCTTGATGAAACCGTGAATCCTAAGACCATTCATTAACTGGGTTAAGAAATACCATTCATTGCCAGGCTTAGTGGCTCACACATGTAATCCCAGCATTTGGGAGGCCGAGGCAGGTGGATTGCCTGAGCTCAGAAGTTAGAGACCAGCCTGGGCAACACAGTGAAACCCCGTCTCTACTAAAACACAAAAAATCAGCCAGGCGTGGTGGTACACGCCTGTAGTCCCAGCTACTTGGGAGTCTAAGGCAGGAGAATTGCTTGAACCTGGGAGGCAGAGGTTGCAGTGAGCCAAAATCACGTCATTACACTCCAGCCTGAGCGACAGAGACTCTGTCTCCAAAAACAAAAGAAAGAAATACCATTCATTGTTCAAATATTTTTTAGTTTCTATTATGTGCCAGGCATTGAGTTAGGTACTGAGCACACTGGGATCAAAAAAGGCATGACTCATACACTTACGGTGAAGCATCTGATAACAGGAGAGACACTAATAAAATAATTTCAATAATAAAGGTTTTACTACAAACTCAGGGAGCACATAATCCCGCCTTCCCCCATCCCCAGCAAAACCAAATTAAACTTTGAACTTTTTAGAGCAGGGCTTCCTAACCCCTGGGCCACAGACCAGTACCAGTCCTGGTCCCTGTTAGAAACTGGGTCACACAGCAAGAGGTGAGCAGTGGGCGAGGTGGCGGAGCTTCATCTGTATTTACAGCCACTCCCCATCACTAGTATTCCCGCCTGGGCTCTGCCTCCTGTCATATCAGTGGAAGCCTTAGATTCTCATAGGAGCGCAAAACCTATTGTGAACCGGGCAAAGAGGGATCTAGGTTGCGCACTCCTTATGAGAACCTAATGCCTGATGATCTGTCACTGTCTCCCATCACCCCCAGATGGGACTGTCTAGTTGTGGGAAAACAGGCTCAGGGCTCCCACTGATTCTACATGATGGTGAGTTGTATAATTATTTCATTATATATTACAATGTAATAATAATAAAGTGCACTATAAATGTAATGTGCCTGAATCATCCGAAAGCCATCCCCCACACCCCAGTCCACAGAAAAATTGTCTTCCACAAAACCGGTCCCTGGTGCCAAAATGGTTGGGGACCACTGTTTTTTTTTTTTTTTTTGAGACAGAGTCTCGCTGTGTCGCCCAGGCTGGAGCGCAGTGGCGTGATCTCAGCTCACTGCAAGCTCCGCCTCCCAGGTTCGCGCCATTCTCCTGCCTCAGCCTCCCGAGTAGCTGGAACTACAGGCACCCGCCACCATGCCCAGCTAATTTTTTTTTTTTTTTTTTTTTTTCAGGAAAGACAGGGTTTCACCATGTTAGCCAGGATGGTCTTGAATTCCTGACCTCGTAATCCACCCGCCTCGGCCTCCCAAAGTGCTGGGATTACAGGTGTGAGCCACTGCACCTGGCCTAGGGGACCGCTGTCTTAAAAGAAGTGATATTTGATCTGAGCTCTACAGACACAAGGAATATCATATACAAAGATTAATGGTTGGGCAAATCTGCAGATTCAAAGAACTGAAATAAGACAAGTGTTGCTAAAGCTCAGAAAGTGAGGCAGTGATACGAGATGAGCAGAGGGAGATAAGACTAGATCATGAAGATCATTAGATTTGCAGAATCATTAGATTTTTTTTTATCCTAACAGCAACAGGAAGTCATTGCAGTATTTCAAGCAAAGGGATGACATATGTTCAGACTGGTGTTTTTAAAAGATGAGTGAGGCCTGGAAAGCAAACTGGAGGTAGCTGCAGAGAAATCAATTAGTAAGCTGAACTGGAAACTGGTGCCATTCAATAAGGCAGGAAATAATAATACAATAGCTCTAAACAGTGTGAGTTGGAATTGAGTTTGCTTTCTGATATGCTGACTTTAAGAAGCCTTTGAAACATTCAAGTAGAAATGGTGAATAGGCCCAGACAAACAAATTTGGGAGTCAGTATTTATAGATGGTAACTGAAGCTGTACTCCAGTGCCTAGGCAGACAATACTGAATGACAGGAGGGCCTAGAACCAAGCCTGGAGCAACTCATTTAGTGATTGGGTCCCAAGAATGAATATATAAGTCTGAAAAATAGCCAGAAGTGAAAAATAAAAACCCAAGTATAATATCGTAGAGCCAAGGTGTGATACTGCAAAATATTTACTTGGTCTTCAATCCCATACAACTCCTAAAATCCTTAGAATCTCTAAGATGTTGCCTTTTTGTATGCTAATGATTGACTGATGGCCAGCAGCCCCTACAACGTTTCAGCATGGGAGCTGCTCACTGAAAGGACCAAGGCATTAGTGATGTCGGACTTTCAGCCCCACCCTCCCACCCGGGGAGGAGGAAAGGAGCTGAAGGTTAAGCTGATCACCAACGGCCAATTTAATCAGTCATGCCTACATAATGAAGCTTACATAAAAACTGAAAACAATGGGGTTCTGATAGCTCAACATGTGGAGGTTCCCAGAGTGGTGAGCTTGCAGAGGGCACAAAAGCTTCGCATCCCTTCCTATATGCCTTGCCCTACGCATCTCTTCATCTGTACTTTTTGTAATATCCTTTATAACAGACCAGTAAATACAAGTGTTTCCCCGAGTTCTGTGAGCTGCTCTAGCAAATTAATCAAACCAACGGAGGGGTCATGGGACCCAGTTTATAGCCAGTCAGTAAGAAGCACAGGTAAAACAATCTGGAGCTGACAATTAGCATCTGGTGGAGGACTGAGGGGCATGGAAGGCAATCTTGGGGATTGAGCCCTCAACCTCTGGGAACTGACGCTATCTCAGGTAGATAGTGTTAGAACTGAACTGAACTTGACGACTCTGAGCTGATGTCCACTGCCGAACTGATTGCTTGCTTGGTGTGTGGGGAAATATGCCCATACATCTGGTCACAGAAGTCTTCTGTGTTAATTATTGTCAACTGAGGAAACAGAAAAATCTACTTGGGTTTTTCCTGCCACTCAGACACGGGAACAAAGCGCTTTAAGGAGGGAGCAGCCAACAGTGCCAAATGCTGTTGAGAGTTTAATAAAATGAGGATTAGTACTGATCATTAGATTTAATACCACTAGTCTTTGGTTCCCTTGGTGAGAGCTCTCTGGGTGGAGAAGCCAAAATGGAGTGTGGTGAGGAGTGAGTAGTAGAGGATGATTTCAAAAGTGTACTACTACTCTGAATAATAACTTCTCAAATGCAAAATAAATTCAAACATGAACTGAGTTGCAGGTCACTGAATTCTGCAAGTGAATAAAATATTTCTAGAATTCTGTAAGACCACTTCTATCCTTACCCAGTTGTTTTCTTGACTTTGTTTTAGAATGAATCTCTTCTGCATCATCTAATACAAGGTTCATATACTCATCAAAACCCTAGAAAAATAAACAAACTGTTATCTTCAAAGAAAATCACATTCAAACCATTTTAAATGAGTATACCTATGCAGATAAAAACTCCAACTAACTTCAAAGATTCACTCTTCTCAAGCCCCACCCCACCTTCCACCCAAAGTTTTTTTTTTTTTTTTTTTTTTTTTGAGAAAGGATCTCACTTTGTCTTCCAGGCTAGAGTGCAGTGGTGCAACCTCGGCTTACTGCAGCTGGACCTCCTGGGTTCAAGCAATTCTTCTGCCTCAGCTCCCCCCAAGTAGCTGGAACTACAGGGCGCACCACCATGCCTGGCTACTTTTTGTATTTTTGGTAGAAACAGGGTTTCATCATGTTGCCCAGGCTGGTCTCGAACTCTGGAGCTAAAGTGATTCATCATGCTCGGCCTCCCTAAGTGCTAGGATTACAGGCGTGAGCCACCTTGCCCAGCAAAATATTTAAAAATTAGCTGGACCTGGTGGTGTATGCCTATAGTTCCCAGCTACTAGAGGCTGAGGTGGAAAAATCACTTGAGCCAAGGAGTTCAAGATTGCAGTGAGCTGAGAGCACCTGGGTGACAGAGCCGGACCCCAACTTAAAAAAAAAAATTTAGGGTAGCCTGCTATCCCAGAAGCCTTATTTAACTAACCCCACTGAGCTCTCTATTCAGGTATCACCTAACCCACAACAAATAACCCCACCCTCCCTAATTTCATTTATTTTGTCCCCCCTCTCCATACTAACATTGTCGCTCAATATTTTTTTTTCGAATAATTTTTAAAAGTTAATTTTCAGCCAGGCGTTGTGGCTCATGCCTGTAATCCCAAGACTTTGAGAGGCTGAGGTGGGAGAATCACTTGAGCCTAGGAGTTTGAGACCAGCCTGGGCAACACAGTGAGACCTCATCTCTATAAAAAATAAAAATTTAGCAGGCTGTGATGGTGCACGCTTCTGATCCTAGCTACTTGGGAGGCTGAGGCAGGAGGACTACTTGAGCCCGGGAGGTTGAGGCTGCAACGAGCCATGATTGTGCCACTGCACTCCAGCCTAAGCAACAGAACAAAGCCCTTTCTCAAAAATCAAATACAAATTTTCTTCTCAACATAGACAGAGGAAAGAAAATGAATTAAAAGTTATTTTCCCTATTAAAAACTACCCAATCCTTATCTATCAACAATGAAAAAAGGCTAAACAGCAGCACCTGAAAAACTTTCCTTAGGTTGGATCTTTGACTTTTTATACACTGTTCTGGCTAGACACTTTCTGTTAAGTCTTTTTCTACGACCGAACTGCTATGAGATGAAATCGCCTGGATACTCACAATGATACAGCCTTCTATCCGCATATTCACTTGCTCATAGAGCCACACCTGAATCCGCGATCTCTGAAATAATCATAAAAGTGGAAACGTTAAAAAAAGAAAAATAGGGCCGGGCGCGGTGGCTCACGCCTGTAATCCCAGCACTTTCGGAGGCCGAGGGAGGTGGATCACAAGGTCAAGAGATAGAGACCATCCTCGTTAACATGGTGAAACCCCATCTCTACTAAAAATACAAAAAAAATTAGCTGGGCGTGGTGGCGCACGCCTGTAGTCCCAGCTACTCGGGACGCTGAAGCAGGAGAATCGCTTGAACCCGGGAGGCAGAGGTTGCAGTGAGCTGAGATCGCGCCACTGCACTCCAGCCTGGGCACAGTGAGACTCCGTCTCAAAAAAAAGAAAAGAAAAACAGGCCAGGTGCCTCGATTCACACCGTTCCCATACTTTGGGATGCCAAAGCGGAATAATTCGCTTTGTGGCCAGGTGTTCAATATAAGCCTGCGCAACATTAAGCAAGATCTCCCCGCCCCCCGCCCCCCAAAAAATTGAAGTATACAAAACCTAACCATTTTGGTCAAACGACAAGAGAAATATGGCTCCTAAAAAAATTGTAATGAATGTAAGTCAAAAGTTTTAACTAATTAGCCCATATCTAAGAATTATTCACCAATAATAATAACCTCAAAAAGAATTTTCATTTAATAAGTTCTATATTGGAACTGTATAAGCTAATAATTTTCCTGTGATTTTGGGACTCAATATTTCTTACTGCTTCTGGTCTCAATCTATTAAGAGTGAAAGTTTTTGACAGCATAGCACAAAGCAGTAATTTCTAATGACCAAGGGCTTATCTCCTGCAGCAAAATCCAGTTCCAAAACAAAGCCTTCTCATGTCACACACCTAACAACTAGGACAGGAGCCCTCAATTCAGGTGGTTAAGAATTATTATCACCTGAAATTAATGTTTTTCAGTTGTGTTATCACACTATAAAATTTAAGTTGCTAAAATTTCCCTCAAAGGAAAGCAGCTGCCACTAAACTCCTCTGAAGCTACCCCTTCTCTCTTCCTTTTTTCGTCTTTAAGTTTTCCCACAGGTATTAAACACACCACCTCTTGACATGGTTTAAGTTGGCTGGGTTTTTCTTCCAATGTTTCATCCTAAAGGGGAGAGGTTCCAATGTTCTAGCCATAATCACTACTAACAAAACTACTGATGCCCAAATACCATGGTCAAGTCTGCTAATAATACTTTTTGGAATTAAAAAGTATTTTTGATCTTGCAAAGTAATGGATACAATTCTTTGCATGTTGGGAAGTGGCATGGATACACACCACTTCATCACATTAGTGCTTTCTAAGTACTCCTTCCCCTCAATTACCCTCCAATCTCCAGTTACATCTATTTTTAAATTCTAGAACACAGCGATCGCTCAGGTTAACACAAAAAACTAAATCAGTTCACCTCTTATTTAAAAAGTAGTTACGAAACAAGCAACTTACGTACATTTTGTAAGTATCTGAAGATGAGGTTCTGCACCACAGTGGCTAAGGAAAAAATACAAAAGCAGCATAGACTCTGCTTCCTGAAACAACCGGACGACGCTATTCCCGTCTCACCTTTGTTTACTAAACGCGAGGTCTGGTGCTTACGCAAACAACAAGTGCCCAGCTGGGCATTCGTTACGGGTCTTCTAAAGACTAAAGAACATCCATTCCACTTTCATCCCCCTGGAGTTTCCCAAAACCGTTAACTCCCGTTTTCACTCCGCACCTGAAGTTCTCTTCCCTCCTTTTGCCGCGTCCATTCCTGCATTCCCCACGGCAGGGGTCCCCCCAAGACCACCTCCCCACCATCACGGTTCAACTACCCGCGCTTTCTTCCAGTCTTGGTAGCCCCGGGGGCTCATGGGATGTGGATCCGTACTCCACTATCCCAGGCCTGCCCTCAGCCTGCGCCTTCGCACCCCGTATTCTGACCCGAACCTCCTAGTCCTGACATCCTGCGTAGGATACGATGGGCTGCACCATAACCTTCTGCACTTTCTGACCCTGGCCACGGTACGCCATGGTGGAATTTCACAAAGAGCACACCCGCACGCTGCCTCTGAGAGCAACTTCCGGAATAAAGAACCGGAAGCGGAAGTGTGAAGGTCACGCGGCGGCATGGGCGGCTCCTGGGAAATGCCCCTCTAGCCATGAAGTCACGTTTCTTCGCTGCATGGCCTCCGAGGGAGGCCAAACTGAGGCGTCTGCGCTGTGGAAGGTGGGCCGGTCCTACAGCGCCACCTGGAGGGAGGCGGGAGGAGGTGCCTTCGGTTGTATAGTGGCCGTGGTAGGAGGAGTGCCGTCCTGTCTCCAATTTCTTTTCTTTTTTTTTTTTTGAGGCGAAGTCTCGCTCTGTCGCCCAGGCTGGAGTGCAGTGGCGCGATTTCAGCTCACTGCAACCTCAGCCTCCAGGGTTCAAGCGATTCTCCTGCCTCAGCCTCCCGAGTAGCTGGGACTACAGGCGCCTGCCACCACGTCCGACTAATTTTTTGTGTTTTTAGTAGAGACGGGGTTTCACCATGTTGGCCAGGATGGTCTCGATCTCCTGACCTCATGATCCGCCCGCCTCGGCCTCCCAAAGTGCTGGGATTACAGGCGTAAGCCACCGCGCCCGGCCTGTATCTCCATTTTCTGAGTTAGCTTGAAAAGCCAAAATCGTCCCAGTGTGTATCTCTATGTGTAAAATGAGTTAATTTCGTGCCTTTCCTAAAGCCTATTTTGCTGGAGTTTAGGCTTGATAGCAGCGTTGTGGTGGAAAGGGTAGGGCGGCAAGGAGCCCAAACTTCAGGCCTCCCACCTCTGGCAGTCGGCCAGAGGCGGTCTGCATTCCAAAGCCAGACGCCTGGTTCCCTCCAGTTACGGATTCAATTCTCATCCATTTCGTGGAGAGTTACTGTTCAGGTGGCAACTGAGGGTGGCGATTTACCAGGAAGACGCTGAAATCCACATGCTGGGCGCAAATCCAGCTCTTTTAGAGTTGGTGACCAAGGATAAATTACTCAGCCTCGCCATGTCTTGGCTTAGTTTCCAAAACGGAGATTATAGTAAAGATTAACTTTACTCAGGGGCTTAAAGATTCAATGAAATAATTGTCTATGTGTGCACACAGTTAGGCGTCAGCCAGTGTCAGAACATGTCCTTCCCTGGATAACACAGCTACTAAGTGGAGCAGCTGGAATTTGTAGGTGTGCCTGACCCCAAAGTCCACCTACCTTTCCATTGTGTCATGGCTTGTGGCCTGGCAGAGATTTCACTTAATTGGCATACACATGTTATAGAGGAGGAAACTGAAGTTTAGACTTTTGAAAGGACTTGCCTAAGGGAACACGGATTAGGGCAAATGGCAGAATCAAAATTAGCTTTTCTGAGGGCTTCTGTTTAATGGGGATAATAGTAATAACGACTTCAGAAAGGGGTTGAGTTGAAAGTGATTTTTAAACTACACAAAGCGGCCAGGCTCACGCCTGTAATCCCAGCATTTTGGGAGGCCGAGGCAGGTGGATCAACTGAGGTCAGGAGTTCGAGACCAGCCTGGGCAACATGGTGAAACCTTGTCTCTACTAAAAATACAAAAATTAGCCATGCATGGTAGCACATGCCTGTAATCCCAGCTACTTGGGAGACTGAGACAGGAGAATCACTTGAACCCAGGAGGCAGAGGTTGCAGTGAGCCGAGATCATGCCACTGCACTCCAGCCTTGGTGACGGAGCGAGACTCCGTCTCAAAAAAATAAATAAGAATAAATAAATAAATAAACTACACAAAGCTGGCAAATGCATGGGATAACTATTTCCTTTAAAAAATTTCAGCCAGGGCTGGGCACAGTGGCTCATGCCTGTAAATCCCAGCACTTTGGGAGGCTGAGGCAGGCAGATCACAAGGTCAGGAGTTTGAGACCAGCCTGGCCAATATGGTGAAACCCCGTCTCTATTAAAAATACAAAAATTAGCTGGGCGTAGTGGTAGGCGCCTGTAGTCCCATCTACTCAGGAGGCTGAGGCAGGAGAATTGCTTGAATCTGGGAGGCAGAGGTTGCAGTGAGCCGAGATCGCGCCACTGCACTCCAGCCTGGGTGACAGAGCAAGACTCTGTCTCAAAGAAAAAAAAAAAAAAATTTCAGCCAGGTGCGCGAGCTCATGCCTGTAATCCCAGCATTTTGAGAAGCAGAAGCAGGAGGCTTGCTCGAACCCAGGAGTTCAAGACCAGCCTGAGCAACATAATGAGACCTTGGCTCTACCAAAAAATTTAAAAATTAGCCGAGCCTGATGGTGCCTGCCTGTAGTCCCAGCTACTCTGGAAGCTGAAGCAGGAGAATCTCTTGAACCCGGGAGGCAGAGGTTGCAGTGAGCAGAGATCATGCCACTGCACTCCAGCCTGAGCAACAGAGCCAGGCCCTGTCAAAAAAAAAAAAAAAAAAAAAAGATTCCCTAGCTGGGTTTTGTGGCATGGCCTGTATTCCCAAGAACTAGGGGAGGCTGACGTAGTAGGACTGCTTGAGCCTAGTTCAAGAGTGCAGTGAGCTGTAATGGCACCTATAAATAGCCACTACACTCCAGCCTGGGCAACATAGTGAGACCCAGTCTTTAAAAAAATCATTCCCCCACCCAAACCCAACAGAGTGTCATGTTGTCTGACTTTAAGACAGCGTGTTTATTTATTTTTCCCCACCGCCCTCCCCCACCTTCTTTTTAGACAGGATCTCCTGATATGGCACAGGCTGACATGCAGTGGTACAATCTCGGCTCACTACAACCTCCCCACCAGGGCTCATGCGATCCTCCCACCTCAGCCTCTGGAATAGCTAGGACCACAGGTGTGCACCACCACACCTGGCTAACTTTTTGTATTTTTAGTAGAGACGGGGTTTTGCTATATTGACCAGGCTGGTCTTGAACTCCCGGCCTCAAGTGATTCTCCTGCCTTGGCCTCCCAAAGTGCTAGGATTACACGTGTTAGCTGAACCTGGCCAGGATTACTTTTTTAAATCCAAGTACATGATGTCTTTTTATTTGTTCAAACTTTCCTTTGAATCTTTCAAAAGTTTTTGGTTGTCTTCATATAGACCTTGTGATTTCTTAAGTTCAACCTTAGCTATTTCATCTCTCTTCTTCTTAAAAATTCTATCTTTTCCTCAATTGTATGCTCTAGCTGGTTTTTAGGGGAAAAAAAGAATGATAAATGCAACTACATAAAAATAAAATTATGCATGACTAAAAAGGGAAACAATAAACAAAGTCAAAACATCTAGGAAAAATATGTTTGCATTACATCTGAAAAATGATTAATTTTACTAATATGTAGAGTTCCTGAAAAAGAATGCTATTCTGGTCTTTACTGATGTGTAAGAAATATTCCAAAACTTAGTAGCTTAAAACAACAACCATTTTGTTATAATTCATGACTTCATGGGTCAGGAATTTGGGCAGGTTCTCAGCTGAGTGATTCTTCTGCTCCACAAGACATATCTACGGCTTTGGTGTGTATCTTTGGAAGACTGGCCTCAGCTGGGTCCCTATCTCTATGTAGTCTCAGCCCTCACCACACGGTTTCTCTAGAAGGGTGGTATGCTTTCTTATATGGGGGATTAGGGGTCTAGGAAACCAAGGTTGAAGCTACCAGCACTTTTTTTTTTTTTTTTTTTTTTGAGACGGAGTCTCATTCTGTCACCAGGCTGGAGTGCAGTGGCACAATCTTGGCTCACTGCAACCTCCGATTCCTGGCTTCAAGCGATTCTCCTGCCTCAGGCTCCCGAGTAGCAGGGATTACAGGCATGTGCCACCACGCCCGGCTAATTTTTGTATTTTTAGTAGAGACAGGGTTTCACCATGTTGGCCAGGATGGTCTTGATCTCCTGACCTCTTGATCCACCTGCCTTGGCCTCCCAAAGTGCTGGGATTACAGGTGTGAACCACTGCGCCCAGCTGCTCTACCAGCACTTTTAAAAGCCAAGCCTGGGCCGGGCACGGTGGCTCACTCTTGTAATCCCAGCACTTTGGGAGGCTGAGGCCAGCGGATTACCTGAGGTCAGGAGTTCAAGACCAGCCTGGCCAACATGGCGAAACCCCATCTCTACTAAAAATACAAAAATTAACTGGGTGTGGTGGCGGGCGCCTGTGATCCCAGCTACTCGGGAGGCTGAGGCAGAATTGCTTGAACCCAGGAGGCGGAGGTTGCAGTGAGTGGAGATCACGCCATTGCGCTCCAGCCTGGGTGACAGAGCAAGACTCCGTCTCAAAACAAAAAAAGACTCAAAATTAAAATTGGCAATGGATGTGAGCATCAGTTTGTAGCAAAGGATATAGGAGTGGTCTTTAAACATGAAAAGATGCCCAGCTTCACTCATAACAGAAAGGCTACATTCAGAATGTCTGTCACAAAAGAAAAAAAAGAAAGGCACACCAAACTACACTGAAGTACTATTTCTCTTATTAGATTGGAAATGAAAAAATAGTGGTACTGTAAATTATTAAGCTCTATTTCTAGGTACTTATCCTCCATACAAACTTACATGTGTGGTATAATGTAATCATCACAACATTGTTTAAAATACCAAGATGGGAAGCAACCTAAATGTCTATCAATAGGGACTATTATAAATTACTGCATCTTCATAGGGTGCAATTCTATGCAACTGTTACTAAGATTAAAGGTCTTTGTGTCCCGATATGAAACGATATCCAATATACATGATGAAAAAAAAAGCAAGGTATACTATGCTTGAGATTTACTTCAAAATAACTCAGTGGAGCCAGCAGGGCCAGATCTCAGATAAGGCAAGGCTAAGGATTGAGCATAATTGTAGGAATCACAATCACATGTGCAAATACAAGCCTTGAAAAGTGAGTGCCTCCTTAAATTGTGCCCAATACCTTGCTTGCCTCACCCTCAGCCCAGTCAAGTAGGTCAGAATAGGGGGTGATGGATAGTTGGTAAGGTAAAGAAGAGAGGATTGGCCATGAATCTGCAATTGTTGAAACTGGGTGACTATGTGGAGTTTATTATACTTTAATTCTAAATACATTTGAAATTTTCTTTAATAAAAACGGCAGGGTTCAGAATGTCATGTGTTTTACGCATGATATTGTATGGAAGTGTATTCACTTACACATGGCTAAAGTATCTCTGGAAGAATACCTGAGACACGGATAATGGAAAGTAATATGAAACATTTGTTTCCTTTTGTTATTGCAACTACTCACAATGTTCTTGTAAAACTTCATGACACACCTAAGATATCTGCAAAGTGGGCTTCAGAATCACTGGCCCAAATGAACATACCCCTGAGAAAGGAGTCTGCCAAACCTCCCAAATATTTCAGAACATTCTTCCTCTCAGCTTGAAGTTTCTTTCATCCCAACCAGAAGCTTCACAACTTGCTGAATGGCTGTGATTATTCTTTACCATGCCATAGATTCAGACTCTACAACATTTTAGCAGTTAAATCCAACCAAATCTAAATACCTTAGTAACAGACCCTCTCAGTAAATATAAATCCAAAAAAAATTTTTTTGAGATGGAGTCTTGCCCTGTTGCTCAGGCTGGAGTGCAGTGGTGATTGATCTCGGCTCACTGTAACCTCCGCCTTCCAGGTTCACACAATTCTCCTGCCTCAGCCTCCCAAGTAGCTGGGATTATAGGTGCATGCCACCCCGCCTGGCTAATTTTTTTGTACTTTCAGTAAAGATGGGGTTTTGCCATGTTGGCCAGGCTGGTCTCAAACTTCTGACCTCAGATGATCCACCCACCTCGGCCTCCCAAAGTGCTGGGATTACAGGCGTGAGCCACCGTGCCCAGCCAAAATTACTTTTTTTAAATGTAAAACTAAATTCTTGATTGCTGTTCTTATTTACGGTCATTACTTATTTTTTGCCCACTTTATTGAACAAACTTAAGAGAATGGTCAAGGATTTTAATTGTGTTCATGCCCCTTAACTAATATCTTTTTGCAAATTCAAAATAAATTGCGGTTTGGAGTCTTAATTATTAATGCAGTTAAATGTCTGGGTTGTAGGAATTTTCAGAGTTACTGAGCAGCTTCATAAAGTCATGATTTTAAAAAACACTCTTGAAAAGATCTACTAATCAAACCCAATGGCACATAATATATAAACATACTGACCCTGAAACTTCAGTGCGGGAATAGTCATCTTTAATGTACTGTATAATTTAGTGTCAAAATGAGGACGTGAATTAAAGATACACAATAAGTACTCAATAAATGTTAGCTAATTTAAGTTTTACCTATTAAGCAGTTACAACTGGAGACCATGTATTTCCTGTGCTACAGCCAAATTCAAAGCAATCAAATACTTTACAGAACTGCAGAACTGTTGGCTGGGCGTGGTGGCTCACAACCTGTAATCCCAGCACTTTGGAAGGCCGAGGAAGGCCTATCACTTGAGGTCAGGGGTTCCAGACCAGCCTGGCCAACATGGTGAAATCCTGTCTCTACTAAAAATATAAAAATTAGCCAGGTGTGGTGGTGCACCCCTGTAATCCCAACTACTGAGGAGGCTGAGGCAGGAGAATCGCTTGAAACTGGGAGGCAAGAGTTGCAGTGAGCCAAGATTGTGCCACTCTGCATTCTATCCTGGGCAACAGAGTGAGACTCTGTCTTAAAAAAAACACCCTGCAGAATTATTCTGGCAAAATAAAGCCACCATTTTAGAAAAGGATCATGGAACTCTGATCAATATATTAATAGATCAAGCTTTGTTACTGCAATTGTAATTAGTAAACATCAGTCTCATCTTTCAAATACTGATCAAGATGAAAACACACTATGTTCTAGCTTTAAAGAAGAACCACTGAGATTTAGGGTTAAGGCTAGAACTTTAGGAATTATTATCTTGAGATAAAATATATGAAACATAAAACTATCTTATTTCTGGCTATAACCAAACTGGAATATTTGGGCCCTTTTCTTACTGTTAAAATGAAAAACTATCATTCAAAACTATAGTCTTTTGCTTTTTGTGAAAAGTTGATTCAACTTGTTGGGACGACTTTTAGACTAATAGGAAAAATCTATGTTCTTTGGTAGCTAACAAACATATACTTTCCTACAATTTTAAAAATTGGCACACATATTAAGAAACCTGGACTTCTATAAATTAAATTTCTTATCTGCTGCACCTTCATGCTTGAAAATTCTAAATCGTTGACTCTAAAGATCAAGTTTATTCATTTATTTATTTTTTATCAGCCTCTTGAGCCAGAGTAGGCCCAGAGAGACTCCCTAAGATCACTTTTAAACCCTCCCTCCTTTTAAAAACTTAATGGCATTGCTTGAGTTACAACACTAAGGAGTAAGTATCCGTGTCAGAAAAAAAATCCTCACATTATAATAATATAAATTCTTACCTAAAGCATATGCAGCTAAAATTGAGCACACTTGTAAATTTGGCAATATATCCAGATGAAAGGTTTCTAAGCCAAATAATAACTGAAATTCGGGCACTTACACGAAAGGCCAATAGCATTCTGTCTGGGGTCTCTTGTCAAGATGGATCCCAGGCTGATATGATGATGTAAGATTACTTAGCTCACAACATCAAGACTTTCCTACATCAGTTTTATTTAAAACACAAACAAGTATTTCTCTTTCTGTAAGGGCAAATGGTTCAAATAATGCGGAACACGAAACATTGACTAATACAAGTGCTTTAAATATGAAACAAAATTATTTTTTAAAAAAGCAAAAGAATAAAGAATATATACAAAAGGGACCTGGAATCTGTAAGCTGATTCCAAAAACGAAATAAGTAGAAAATCCATGGTGAAACCTGAACATTCTACCTCTGCTTTGGAGAAGGGCTATCATACAACATTCAGTCAGCTGAAGATGGATTGGTAGAGGTGTGTCTATACATAAACTTCAGTCATTTTTGCTTGTGCAGAATCATCCCAATCTTCCCAAGACTGAATGGGCAGTCCTGTGGCTTTCTTCCTTTTCCATATTCCCAACAAGGCTACGTGAAGTTCAACTCTTGATGAGCCGCTTACAACAGCAGTTCCTTAGGAGCCAACATGACAGGTGGGTCAGATTTCCCTATGAGAAACAAAACTGGCCACCTACAGCAAAATATCAAAATGGGTAAGTCCTTCCTTCCTCTTCCTCCTGATTATATACAACATATCTCCTTTCAAGACTATTATTTCCATCATGCTTATTCCTTCACAAATCTAAACCTTGAGGTGATATGAAGGAAACCAACATCAAGAAAAGAAAACTCAATTCAGAAATGAAGAAAACTGGCAGGTATACAATACACCCCCAGAGCATCTCAATATCCCTGGCACAGTACAATTCAGTGTACTGCTACAGCCCATAGATAAATATTGGCAGCTTGAATAAGCTCATTTTTTCCCTCAGGTGGTTAAAGGCCACCAAACAAATACTGGGCAACAGGGGTTTGTTGGGAGAGTTAGAAATAAAAAATTAACCAAATTTTGTCCCTGTGTTAATTCAATGCCAGCAAGGAGGCAAGTACTGAAGAAGAAAAAGGACAATTTTCATACTAAAAAAGAATTCCTCTAATCATGTCACCATCTCATATAATGAATCCAGGGAATCCCAGAAATAGAAAATTAGTTTCAGGGGACCCCTGAGGCACTTTAAAGCCTTTTAAAAAATTACAGTAATAATAAATTAGATATTGCTCTTCAGAGGCTAACAGAGCAGCAGAAGCATCAAGATCAGGTCCAAAGAGTTATGCCCACATTACAGGCTTCCTGAGCTGCTCAGCCCTCTTTAAAGCTTAGTTGAATCTTTAAATACCTTTAAAAAGACATACAATTTAACACAGACTGAGTGGGTATTTTTGTTTAGTGGTAGCATAAAATTTGGTCCTTAATGGTAGCAGCTGTCTTCATCCATTTCAAACTCAGGTAATATTAAGTACATCAAGACAATACATAAAGAATACAACAAAGAAGAAAAAAGCCAAAACTGACAAACACCTCAAGGAGTCACTAAGTTCGCTTGCACCCTTTCACTTGATCTCCCTCTCAGTCTCTTTTTTGTGGAGAGAAGGGTATGACAGAACTTTTTTCTCAAAAGATGATAAACAATGGCATCAAATGGACAAAATGGTTATAAAGTAACTTTAAAAATCTGACCCCAAGGAATCCAGGACACATACAGATAATTCAGAGGTATACTTCTGATTTGGGGCAAATTCTAGACTAAAGAAATGATCATCTCAGGTAAATGTTACAATAGATGAAACTAAGTCCAGTTTTTTGGCGATTTTTTTTTTAAAGTGTCCTCACTACCACCTTCAGCTATCAATCATTTCTGATAGCTCAAGCAGAAGGTCATCTTCATCTTTCCCAGGATCCAGGTCAATCTCAGCTTCCAATTTGCCTCCTGAAATCTCCCATATTAGTTTCTCAAAATCATCCTCCACAGAGAGTGGGGGCTTTCCTGTTGAGGCAGAGCTGAGTCGGCGAGTTTTCATGCTCATTTGGGATGAGGAAGGGCCAGACACCTCCGGGGGTGAGGAATCTGAAGAGGACTGGGTTGGAGGCAGCACAAGACTGTAAGAAAAAAAAGATTATTAGAAAACTGCCGTTTTAAAAATAGTTGGCTGAATCACCTAGTCTCACGGACACAAAGTGAGCAAAAATTTGTTTTTAAGAACATACATAAAGAAATAATTCTTTTACTGATTTGGGATCAAGCTTTTTTTTTTTTTTTTTTTTTTTTTTTGAGGCAGAGTCTCCCTTTGTCACCCAGGCTGGAGTGTAGTGGTACAATCATGGCTCACTGCAGCCTCGACCTCCTGGGCTCAAGCGATCATTTTGCCTCCGCCTCCCAAGTAGCTGGGTCTACAGGTGTGTGTCACCATGTGATTTTTTTTTTATTTCTTTGATTTTTATTAGAGACAAGACCTCACTATGTTGTCCAGGCTGGTCTTGAACTCCTGAGCTCAAGTGATTCTCCAGCCCCAGTCTCCCAAAATGTTGGGATTACAGGCATAAGCCGCCTTGCCTGGCCAGCACCAAGCATTTTTATAACTCAAAGTAGGTGTTAAAGACATCTTTCAGGGGCCGGGCATGGTAGCTCATGCCTGTAATCCCAGCACTTTGGGAAGACGAGGAAGGTGGATCACTTGACGTCAGGAGTTTGAGACCACCCTGGACAATGTGGCAAAACCCTGTCACTACTAAAAATACAAAAATTAGCTAGGCCTTGTGGCAGGCACCTGTAATCCCAGCTACTTGGGAAGCTGAGGCAGGAGAATTGCTTGAACCCGGGAAGTGGAGGTTGCAGTGAGCAGAGATTGTGCCACTGCACTCCAGTCTGGGTGACACAGTGAGACGCTGCCTCAAACAAAAAAACAAAAAAACATCTTTTAGGTAATATAGCAAAATGTAAACAATGGCACCAAAGAAGAACAGCAACCCTAGATTTTCATACTTTCTTGCAATTAATTTGAAGTGCAACAGATTTATTTGAATGTTGCTAAAGTTATTTATCAGTGTTATTCTCTAGAGAGCCTAAACAGTAACAGGGGCCTGGAGTTTGTTTAGAAAGAATTACAAAGTATTACCTGTCTCTAGGATTTTCTGCTTCAGGCACAGTGACTGATTTGTCCTCAGAGACAAGCGGGACAACAGCCTACAAAAGGAAGAGTCAGGTAATTCAGTGAGAGTCAGGCTTTTTAATTTGAGCATATTCATTTTCTTTTGCTGCCTTCTTAGAATTGTGGCTATGATTCTTTAAGCCTGTGAATCTAAGAATCGATAATCTAAAGGTTGAGTATATAAATAAGCAAAATATCTTGCCACCTAAAAATTAGCTTTTAAAAAATCCTGTCCTGCTACTTCACAAATATCAAACTGTAAGTATAAAATACAGTAGTAACCCAAATTACTAAAATGCTAGGAAATGCCAGGAAGTGATATACTCAAGATAGAATGCTAGTGGAGAGTTAGTCTTTCCTGCTTTCCTACCACACAGAATAAAGCACCACAAAGTGAATATACTTCTTACCACAGCTGCCTTTTTGGCTGGGGGTTCCTGTAGGACACTGCTGGAGCTGAGTGGCTTCACAGCGGCAATGACAGCAGCGTGCATCTCCACTGCCTTACGTTTTGGGGCCAATTTGGGGGATGACACAACTTTAACCACAGATGGCTTCACGTTCACTTTGGGTTTAGCTACAAAGGGCAGAAAATATCTGATAAGCAGTGAGAATAGACTCTTTTAAATGGGGAATAATTCAGAATAAAATATCAAAACTCCTTCAGTACTAGAAATACCACAAATAATTCATTTAAAAAGAGACTGAAAACGATTCAAAGGCAATTTGTGGTCACATGGTGGTCACTACAGGTGGTCACCATGTAGATACAATACCACTTAAATTTGTTACCATTCCTCTATTCCTTGTTTTTATTCAATACCAGAGGAAAGATGCACCATAGAAAGTTTTACACAAAGCTTTTTAAATAGCAATTTTAAATTCTGAGAAAAGAATTCATCTCGTTTTGCCTCTGTATAAAAATATCAGAAATATTACTATCTACCTGTGGATAGAAGGCAAATGAAATTCAACCCAATTGTTGCCAGGAAGTTACTGGCAACAATTGGGTTGAATTTGGTAATTTTGATAACCTAAAGCAATACACAGTATAGAAATACTTGCCTTTACCCCTTTTTTCCAAGGTCTGTGCTGCACATTTCACATTCAATAATGAGTCTCCAATCCCTGAGGTTTCTACCTCCACCTTCTGGGATGACTTTGTGGGAAGCCGCTTGGTCAGGTGCCGTGTGATTCCTGGCACAGCAGTGAGCACTGGTTTCTCTGCCACTTGGGTATTGCAAGAGGCTACATCTCCCCGAAGAGGTGTCAAGACTGATTTTTCCCTCTCCTGCTGTTTCTGCATGTGCTTCTCTCTCATGGTCTCACATCTCTTGACTTGAATTTTAGTGATGTCAACTCCTGTGGTCTCACCTGAAGCCTGTGGATAAATTTGAATGACAGAATTAAAATCTGGTACCTCTAATAACCTGTATGATGTAAGTACCAGGCTAACATCTAAGTTAAGCAGAATCTCACATGATCCAGAATCTGAGAGAAAAGCTCTTTATTTGATGTTAAATAGACAATACCCTGTTAAAGATGAAAGATTAGAATTACAGATGTATGGAATAATAAAAAACCCAGATTCCACAGGCTAGACAACCATGACTCTAAGTCAAATACTAATGATTCCTAAATAATCAAATACCTGCACAAAGATTTATGTACAAATATATTACTTTAAATTGTGTAAAACAAAATCTGAATGTCCAGAAAAAGACTGTATTTGTATAATGGAGAATCATGTGGTCAGTAAAAACAAACTTCTTGAAGAATTATTAACATGGTAAAGTTAAAGCAGGCTGTAAAATGATACACTGTAGAGTTCTCCATTATGTTCTAAACATGGGTTTAACATTAAACAAATTCACATGCATGCATATATAAACAAAAAGGTCGAAGAAGGCCAAGTGTGGTGGCTCACACATGTAATCCCAACACGTTGGGAGGCCAAGGCAGGCAGATCACTTGAAGCCAGAAGTTCGAGACCACTCTGGACAACATGGAGAAACTCTGTCTCTACTAAAAATACAAAAATTAGTCAGGCTTGGTGGTGCATGCCTTTGATCCCAGCTACATGGGAGGCTGAGGCACAAGAATCGCTTGAACCCAGGAGGCAAAGGTTGCAGTGAACCGAGATCATGCCACTGCACTCCAGCCTGGGCAACAGAGCAAGACTGAAAAAGCTCGAAGAAATCCATGGAAAAGATAATGATGGTTACATCTGAGCTGTATATTTTTAGGGTTTGTTCAGTTTTAAAAAAAATAAAATTTCCAACTTTTGTATGATGCATAGCATTAGAAAAAACTCAGTTAAAAAAAAGTAATGGCCAATTAAACAAAAAACTTTATTTTTTGTATTTTTAGTAGAGACGGGGTTTCACCGTGTTAGCCAGGACGGTCTCAATCTCCTGACCTCGTGATCCGCCCGCCTCAGCCTCCCAAAGTGCTGGGATTACAGGCGTGAGCCACCGCGCCCGGCAAACAAAAAACTTTAAAAGGGCAGCGAATACTGATATACATAGAACTACAGGAAATTCTCATAAGAAATTATAAGTAAAAAGAAAGACTGTTTACCTAATATATGAATGAAGTACTTAGAAATTTATTGTAAGGTAAAACTACCAATTATCTAGCCTTTGTTTGCCATGAACAAAACCATACAATAATCTTAAATTTACCTCTTTAGCTTCTGTTCTAATACTGCTCTGAGAATCAACTTCATTTCCTTCCTGAAGGTTCTTCTCTTCTTTCATCCCTGTATTCACATTAAAGACATCATTAGTTATTTTATTTAAGCTGCAACTTCATGATAGATATGTTAAACAAAACTTTATTTAATGAAAGTAGTAAGACAGGACAAATAAAATTACAGATAAAGCCCATCTGTGCTCCTAAAGTCTCAAAATACACATTAAAATAGCAAAGGTTGGCCGGGCATGGTGGCTCACACCTGTAACCCCAGCACTTTGGGAGACTGAAGCAAGCAGATCACACTTGAGGTGAGGAGTTTGAGACCAGCCTGGCCAACATGCTGAAACCCCATCTCTATTAAAAATACAAAAATTAGCGGGGTGTGGTGGCACATGTCTGTAGCCCCAGCTACTTGGGAGGCTGAGGCAGGAGAATCACTTGAACCTAGGAGGTGGAGGCTACAGTGAGCCAAGGTCATGCCACTGCACTGCAGCCTGGGTGACAGAGTGAGACTCTGTCTCAAAAATAAAATAAAACAAAATAGCATAGGTCTACATAGCACTACTGAAAAACTTCATTTAATTCAGTGTTTTCAACGTTATCTGAGTAAAGAAAGGTTGTCAAACAACTCCTAGGAAGATCCCACGGAACACTCCTCTGGAATATTATGTGGGGACGTGGTACTAGAGACCAAGTTCTCTTGTTACCTGTTCTTTTGGTGATTCGCAGCAGCCGCCTTGCCCCTGGAGTGGCCTCGTGTTGAGACGGGGAGCTGGTGCTGCTCTCAGAGCTCTGCTGCACCCTCAGTGCCTTCTCCAGTTTAATTTCTTCCAGCGTCTTGATGTGCACCTCCTGCATAGACTTTGTTTTACCTGCAGGCTCCTCTGATTGTCCTCTGCTGGCAACAATGGGTGGCAAAACTACTGTTTTTTTAATTTCACTATCAATCTTTAGCTTGATGCAAGTTGTATCCTTTTTGCTTTTTTGTCTCTCTGCTTCCTGCTGCCGATGTTTTTTTTCAGCCAGGACCTCAGAGAAGGTTTTGATACGGATAGTGGAGGAGCTTCTTGCTCCTGAAGTAGAATCATCAGTTTTTGAAGGTCCTTCTGTCTTGAGTTTAGTTTGCAATTCTCCACGTTTCTGACTGGCTCTTTCAAGAAGAATTTCTTCTAATGTCTTCACATGGATCTCACCAACTTTATTAACTTTATCTGTTTTCACAGGAGAAAAACATGTCATTATACTTGAAGTTCATCTCTTACTGACTTATGATCTCTCTATTCTTGGATCAAGACAGTCCAACAGAGAGCTATCATTTAAGCAGGCAATTAAAAGGATCAAAAGGGTAACATTTATTTCTTTTCCTTTTTTTCTTTTTCTTTTTTTTTTTAAGACAGAGTCTCACTCTGTTACCCAGGCTGGAGTGCAGTGGTATAATCTCAGCTCACTGCAACCTCTGCCTCCCAGGGTTCAAGTGATTCTCCTGCCTCAGCCTCCCAAGTAGCTGGGACTACAGGTACCCACCACCAAGCCCGGCTAATTGTTTCTATTTCAATTTTAGATTACTGCAAGTTCCAGGCAGTGGTCCTCAAGGAAAACTCTTTGGAGGCAAAAATTGATTTGTATTTCTATTCAGAAGCTTATTCTTCAGAAACTGAAAGCCATTTACTAGTTGGATAAATTTGTCATTATAAATCTTAACAAAAATAGCAATAAATTCTTCATTAACTTATGGCTATAAACATGTAATGAACACTGGGCTAGAAATACAATGGTAAGCAAAATAAAATCTCTGTCCACATGTAATTTACAGTCTAACAGATCAATAATTAAACTAGCTATAGCAGAGTATGGTAATGATAACTGCTTTGATAAGGTAGGTATAATGCTATAAAAGGACACAGCAGGAACACCTACACTTGTCTACAAGGAAATGATATTAAATTTAAAGGATAAAAAGAAGGTAAAACAGGTGACAAGATAGAAGAAAAATGCAGAAGGCCCAGAAATTGGCATGCCACTGAAGAGCTATTTTCAATGATACATTAATCGTTCTATATCTGTCTAAACTGAAGACCAAATGTCACACTTCACAGATAGAACCATTCTCATTACTGAAGGGCTAAGAAAATAAATAATGAAAAGAGATAGTGCTATGAAATAAATGATAATTTGGAGATCATACACATATATATGTAATCACTGAATAACAGCTTTTAATGAACCCCCCCCCCAAAAAAATTATATCTTTTCAAAATCTTTTTTTTTTTTTTTTTTTTGGTAAAGACGAGGTCTTGTTATGTGGCCCAGGCTGGTCTCCAAACTCCTGGCTTCAAGTGATCCTTCTGCCTCAGCCAATCAAAGTGCTGGGATTACAGGTGTGAGCCACCATACCCAGTCTGAAATCTTAAAATATACTGTGTTCTGTCTCACTTTCCAAACTCCTGAGTATACTATTCCCTCTACTTGGAGTATTCCGTGCTGTTCTCATTTCTCTTGCTACCTGTGTTTTTTGTTTGCTTGTTTTTTGAGACAGAGTTTTGCTCTGTTGCCCAGGCTGGAGTGTGCAGTGGTGTCATCTTGACTCACCGCAACCTACATCTCCTGGGTTCAAGTGATTCTCTGCCTCAGCCTCCCAAGTAGCTGGGCCTACAGGTGCCCACGACCACGCCTGGCTAATTTTTGTATTTTTTGTAGAGACAGGGTTTTGCCATGTTGGCCAGGCTGGTCTCAAAACTCCTGGTCTCAAGAGATTTACCTGCCTGGCCTCCCAAAGTGCTGGGATTACAGGCGTGAGCCACCACGCCAGGCCTGGTTAGTTTCAACTGAATTCAGCTTAAAACCTGATACCCTCCAATTTAGTTTTTCTGATCAAAGCACTGAACACTCAGTACACTGTAATTGCATCTTCAACCACACTAAAGACTTCATGAGAACAACGACTGTATTTAGGTACCTGTAATATTGCAAAGGAAGCACTCACTTACTGAATTAGTTCTTCAAGTTCTTTAATAAAAAATCACAAATTCTTTCAATCCAAGGTGGCAAACATTTCAAAATTACCACTCCAAGAAAGTACAACATGAATGGTGACATAGAGGCCCTGTTTCCCTCCCCTACCAAAATTTCATTGAAATGATAAAACATTAAAAATAAAATAAATCCACACCAGCAATGAGAAATAAGGATGTCACTGGCAGAGCATACATCTTGAAGAATTTCTAAAACAGAAAGCAGATGTCTGAATTTACAGAAAAATGGAAAAATAATAGTTAAAACCATAGGCGTGAGTTCTGTTCCTCCCAATACAGTCAAAGGAAACTGTCAAACTTGGGTTAACTAATATTAAAAGCAACGGTGGGATCTGACATAACCATTAGGGTAGAAATTTAAGGACTGCCTATAGAACAGTTGGGCCAGTCATGACCTCCTCCTGAGAACTGCTCCCTAAAAAGAGGCAAGTTTGCCCACGAAGAGCACATTATGAAGATGTTGGGGCTGGAGAGAAGTAGAGCATGAAAATCCCAAGCTTTCACAATACCAAGCAGAAAAAGGGGAGGGAGGAGGGATAAAAGTAAACAGCAAATCTGAAAAAGGAAAGAAGTTGTTTCCACTCAGAAAATAAAGTCTTACTGTGGCAATTGTATGAGCCCCCAGACCTCCCATCTTCAGTCCATACAAGCTGCCTGTTAGTACACCCTCTCCACTTAGCCAGACATAAATGGAGTCTCCCAGTCAGGAGAGAGGACAACTTGGGGAAAGGGTCTTTAAAATGAAAGGAAACCCAAGCCAGGTACTTACAACTATGGAAAAACAACAATATTTAAGATAAACCAAAATAAATAAAAAGAAGTGGTTAAGAAGCCAAAATAATACACAAACTTTTAAAAATAAAAATAAAGATTTGAATTAGAAATCCCAGAGCAGGCCAGGCGCAGTGACTCACACCTGTAATCCCAGCACTTTGGGAGGCCAAGGCAGGCAGATCACTTGAGGTGAGGCAGATCAGGAGTTGGAGACTAGCCTGGCCAACAGGGTGAAACCCCGTCTCTACTAAAAATACAAGTTAGCCAGGCGTGATTGCACATGCCTGTAATCCCATTTACTCGGGAGGCTGAGACAGGAGAATCGCTTTAACCTGGGAGGCAGAGGTTGCAGTGAGCTGAGATCACGCCACTGCACTCCAGCCTGGATGAGAGTGAGACTCTGTCTCAAACAAAAATAAAAATAAAAAATAAAGGCGGGCACAGTGGCTCACGCCTGTAATCCCAGCACTTTGGGAGGCCAAAGTGGGCAGATCATCTGAGGTCGGGAGTTCGAGACCAGCCTGACCAACATGGAGAAGCCCCGTTTCTACTAAAAATACAAAATTAGCCGGGCGTGGTAGCGCATGCCTGTAATCCCAGCTACTCGGAAGGGTGAGGCAGGAGAATCACTTGAACCTGGGAGGCAGAGGTTGCAGTGAGCCGAGATCGCACCATTGCACTCCAGACTGGGCAACAAGAGCGAAACTCCATCTCAAAAAAAAAGAAGAAATCCCAGGCCGAGAATAAAGAAAAAAAAATAAGAGAACAAAGAAAGTTCTTGAAAAATAAAAACACCAAGTGCCAAAATAAATTCATATGAAGGACTGGATAATAAAGATAAGGCTGGCCCCAAATCAGCCATTTAAAAAGGCATAGGCAAACTATATATAGCCCATATGGCCACCACCTAATTTTGTAAATGAAGTTTTGCTAGAACACACCAGCAGTCATTCATTTACATATTGCATACATATGCATATGGCTGCTTTCATTCTACAATGGCAGAGTGGGGTAGCTGCAATACTGTGGACTGCAAAGTTATTTATATCCGACCCTTTACAGGAAAAAAATTGTCAATTCCTTGTCTAAAAAATAAAGTTGAACAAAGCTCACAGAAGGTTAGCCAAAAACAAAGAAACAAAAAGTATACAGAGACATGCAGGCATATGTCCCAAAGTTCCAACATCTATCTAATACAAATTTCACAAGGAGAAAACAAAAAGAAATGTGGGGCAGTCATACTCAAAAGAAATTAATGTTTTCTAGAGCTAAAGACAAATCTTTAGATTCAAGGGCCCACTGAATCAGTATTTATGTATTTACTGAATCAGTATTTATGATAAATACTGATTATCATAAATACTGATTTAGCAGAATGAACAAAAATGATCCATGTTTGATCCACAACAGTGAACCTGCAGCATACTAGGGAGAGATAAAACCCTAGAAATCTCTGAATAATTCAGGTTGCATACAACAGAATAAGAATGTCCAACATCGGACTCCCTTTTTATGATGCTAATATAACTTTAACATCCAAATGAGATAAGGATGGGGGATAAAAAGTAACCTAAGGTGGCTAACAGCATTCATAAATAGAGATGTAAAAATATAAAATTTTTAAAAGCCTCAAACTGAATTCAGCAAGGTATTAAAAAAAAAAAGACGGAAGGCTGAATACATGGATGTTCATTTTATTATTCCTTAAACTGTACATATATATACTTATGTAGTTATATTTCATAATTTAAAAAATTTAAAAATTATAACACAGAAAGAATATAAAGAAAACCTCAATACCCAGATGACACCAATTTTATTTATATTCTCGTGTATTTTTGAAGATTTTTTTAAAGGTATATGTTTATATCTTTACAAAATTAGAATAATCTCATACATATGCATGTTTCTCCTGAGAATAAGTTTCTATAATAAGAAAATAAACTTAAAAAAAAAAAAAAAAGATTCCCCCTCCCCCTCCCCCTCTCCCCGGTCTCCCTCTGATGCCACCAAAGTTGTGAAAGCCAAGGCTGGACTGTACTGCTGCCATCTCGGCTCACTGCAACCTCCCTGCCTGATTCTCCTGCCTCAGCCTGCAGAGTGCCTGGGATTGCAGGCGCGCGCCGCCACACTTGACTGGTGTTTGCATGTTTTGGTGGAGACGGGGTTTCGCCGTGTTGGCCGGGCTGGTCTCCAGCTCCTGACCGCGAGTGATCTGCCTGCCTCAGCCTCCCGAGGTGCCGGGATTGCAGACGGAGTCTCGCTCACTCAGTGCTCAATGTTGCCCAGGCTGGAGTGCAGTGGCGTGATCTCGGCTTGCTACAACCTCCACCTCCCAGCCGCCTGCCTTGCCTCCCAAAGTGCTGAGATTGCAGCCTCTGCCCGGCCGCCACCCCGTCTGGGAAGTGAGGAGCGTCTCTGCCTGGCCGCCCATCGTCTGGGATGTGAGGAGCCCTTCCGCCCAGCCGCCCAGTCTGGGAAGTGAGGAGCGCCTCTTCCCAGCCGCCATCCCGTCTAGGAAGTGAGGAGTGTCTCTGCCCGGCCGCCCATCGTCTGAGATGTGGGGAGCGCCTCTGCCCTGCCGCCCCGTCTGGGATGTGAGGAGCCCCTCTGCCCAGCCGCGGCCCCGTCTGGGAACTGAGGAGTGTCTCTGCCCGACCGCCACCCCATCTGGGAGGTGAGGAGCGTCTCTGCCCGGCCGCCCCGTCTGAGAAGTGAGGAGCCCCTCCGCCCGGCAGCCGCCCCGTCTGCGAAGTGAGGAGCCCCTCCGCCCGGCAGCCGCCCCGTCCGGGAGGGAGGTGGGGGGCGCCTCCACCCGGCCACTGCCCCGTCTGGGAGGTGGGGGGCGCCTCTGCCCGGCCGCCCTATCTGGGAAGTGAGGAGCCCCTCTGCCCAGCCACCACCCCGTCTGGGAGGTGTACCCAACAGCTCATTGAGAACGGGCCATGATGACAAAGGCGGTTTTGTCGAATAGAAAACGGGGAAATGTGGGGAAAAGAAAGAGAGATCAGATTGTTACTGTGTCTGTGTAGAAAGAAGTAGACATGGGAGACTCCATTTTGTTCTGTACTAAGAAAAATTCTTCTGCCTTGGGATGCTGTTAATCTATAACTTTACTCCCAACCCCGTGCTCTCTGAAACATGTGCTGTGTCCACACAGGGTTAAATTGATTAAGGGCGGTGCAAGATGTGCTTTGTTAAACAGATGCTTGAAGGCAGCATGCTCGTTAAGAGTCATCACCACTCCCTAATCTCAAGTACCCAGGGACACAAACACTGCAGAAGGCCGCAGGGTCCTCTGTCTAGGAAAACCACAGACCCTTGTTCACATGTTTATCTGCTGACCTTCCCTCCACTGTTGTCCTATGACCCTGCCAATCCCCCTCTCCGAGAAACACCCAAGAATGATCAATAAATACTAAAAAAAAAAATAAAAAAAAAAAAAAGATTCTTATGTTGCCCTAAATCAGGAGGTCAAAAGTGGTATGTGCTCTCTGTTATCTTTCTTCACTTGATACAATGCAAGTTGATTTTTCCATATCGTTGTTCAGCATTTGACTTTTCATGACAGCAATTATTTTAGCACATAACTATCATAATTTTATCTAAACCCTTTTTATTGTATATTTAAGTTGTTTCTAATTTCCTACTATTTAGCCGGGTGCGGTGGCTCGTGCCTGTAATCCCAGGATTTTGGGAGGCTGAGGCAGGTGGATCACCTAAGGTCAGGAGTTTGAGACCAGCCTGACCAACATGGTGAAACCCCGTCTCTACTAAAAATACAAATATTAGCAAGGCATGGTGGCGTACGCCTGTAATTCTAGCTACTCGGTAGGCTGAGGCAGGGGAATTGCTTGAACCCAGGAGGTGGAGGTTGCAGTGAGCTGAGACCTTGCCATTTAACTCCAGCCTGGGCAACAAGAGCAAAACTCTGTCTCAAAAATAAATAAAATAAATAAATAAATAAATAAATAAATAAATAATTTCCTACTATTAATGCTATGATGAACAATCATTTTACCATCTCTAAGCACAAAAAAGGAATTGATCCCAGTTGAGTCTGAGCTGACTTGATCAATTACTTAAAAAACAAACAGAACTACAAAAGAACAAAAATCAAAAGCCCTAGCAAGCAACAGGTAAATCTGAGAAAAAGCAAAGGCTCTTACAGCAAAGAAAAAAATAATCAGAATCTGGTCTTAGGATTTACTTACCTGTTGCATCCTCATTATCTGGATCAGCTGACATGCCTAATCGCTCCTTAAGAGACTTGGAAACTTGAGCTGTGAAAAGAAAGATTTTCAAAAATCAAAAGTTGAACAGAAACTTTTTACAGCTTAAATACAGGTTTGCTGGGCATGGTGGCATACACCTGTAATCCCAGAACTTTGGGAGGCCAAGGCAGGCTGATCACTTGAGGTCAGGACTTCAAGGCCAGCCTGGCCAACATGGTGAAACCCCATCTCTACTAAAATTGCAAAAATTAGCTGGGCGCAGTGGCTCACGCTTGTAATCCCAGCACTTTGGGAGGCTGAGGTGGGTGGATCACTTGAGGTCAGGAGTTCAAGACCAGCCTGGCCAACATGGTGAAACCCCATCTCTACTAAAAACACAAAAATTAGCCGGGTGTGGTGGCACATGCCTGTAATCTCAGATACTCTGGAGGCTGAGACAGGAGAATCGTTTGAACCCGGGAGGTGGAGGTTGGGGTGAGCTGAGATAGCGCTACTGCACTCCAGTCTGGGTGACAGAGTGAGACTCTGTCTCAAAAAACAAAAATACCAAAAGAAACAAAGAAAAACGTACTTTATATCTGAAAAGCAAAAACTACTGAATTAAAGGAAATAATTTTGTTATTGTAGAGCCTTCTAAAACCTTACTGTCATTGAAATAATTTTTCCTCCAAGTAAATTTAAAATATGCTCCTTAGTTATGAAAATCTTCAACATGGTCAATACACAAGGAGGAAAACAATGTGGCAAAGAAAGTAACTTTTGCTTGCTCTGAGAATGCAAGAAAACCTCCAAACAGGAACGTCTACTCATCAAAGTCCCTTGGGCAAGGGGAAAAATTAAAAGAAGTTTCTTATTTCAAAGAAAGTTAAAACCAAACACAATGAGAAGGAAAAAAACACCTATTCTTTAATAATTTAACGCCAGTGTTTCACTGCAAGTCATACAAGCAGAAAAAACATAAATCTAACCTTGGCTTTTTGCTCTCCTTCAACTATAAAGAATTCTAATTCCCTGAGGGGCGCAATAGTGCATTCCTGTACTTCCAGCTACTTGGGAGGCTGAAGAAGGATGGCTTGAGGCCAGAAATTTGAATCCAGCCTAGGCAACACTGTGAAACCTTGTCTTTAAACAAACAAAACAAAACAAAAATCTAACTCCCAGCTATCTCTTGATTTAGTCCACGTCTCCAAATCAACTTCCAAAATACCAAATCTATGCCACTACCTCGTCTTATCTAGATTATTTTAACAGCCTGCCAACTCATCTCCACGCCAGCATGCTTGCCCCCTTCTAATCTGTCTCCATATTGCAGGCAAGGTAATGGTTTTAAAATGCACATTTGAGCCTGTGATCCTTGTTTATAACCTTTCTTTCTTTCTTTTTTTTTTTTTTTTTTTTTGAGATGAAGTCTCACTCGGTCACCCAGGCTGGAGTGCAGTGGTGACTGATCTTGGCTCACTGTAACCTCCGCCTTCCAGGTTCACACAATTCTCCTGCCTCAGCCTCCCAAGTAGCTGGGATTATAGGTGCGTGCCACCCTGCCCAGCTAATTTTTTTGTATTTTTAGTAAAGATGGGGTTTTGCCATGTTGGCCAGACTGGTCTCAAACATCTGACCTCAGGTGATCCACCCACCTCGGCCTCCCAAAGTACTGGGATTACAGGCATGACCTACCGTGCCCGGCCTGTTTATAACCTTTCAATGGGTTGTTACTATCTTAGAATAAGTCCAAACTTTCTAACATGGCTTAAAGACTATATTATGATCTAGTCACCACACTCTTCAGCCCATTTCTATGTTTCAGCCATATGCAGTTCCTTGAGCATACCACTCTTAGCTCTGCCTTTGCAGGAGTTATTCTCTCTGCCTGAGACACAGTCTCTGGCTCTCGAACTTCACCTGGCTAATTTCTAACTCATGTCTTAGGTCTAAACTTTAACATAACTTCTTCTGTGAACCTTCCCCTAACAGATGGTAATAATAGATGCCTCTCCTATGTGTTACCATAACACTGTGTACTTTTCTCTGTTACAAAATTTATCGCATTTATAAGTATTCCTACCTGCCATTTATACTATAAGCTCCTGAGGAGTGTGACGGTGTTTTTTTCAATGGTGTCTACCCAGAATCTAGCAGACTAAGGATCAAATGTTTGTTGAGTGAATAATATAACAAATACAAGATAACCTATTTACCTGAACAAAAGAATGAAAAACCATAGCTGTTAGCATTACAAGACACAAGTGTCATAATTACATACACACACAAAGTATGTAAGAACACAGGTACCTTTCTTTGGTGTTTTGTCAATGTTAGTTTCTGGAGCTTCAACTTTCTTCCCTAGCCTCTGTGCCAGGCTACGCTTTAATGGAGGATCACTGTCACCGCCTATAAAGAGGGAGAACTTAGTTTAAGATTTCAAGTCAATCTTCAGCAAGGACAAGAAATACAAACAAAAACAGACAACATAGCATAATTCTGTTAAGTGTTCTGCATACATATGGCGTGTTTGTTCACCAGCTTCCTTAGAGTTCAATGTTAGAAACATAAAAATGTCGGAGAAAAGAGGTAAGGAAGGCAAGGTGCAGTGGCTCAGGCCTGTAATCTCAGCACTTTGGGAGGTCAAGGCAGGAGGATCACTTAAGGCCAGGAGTTCGAGACCAGCCTGGGCAACACAGCAAGACCTTGTCTCTAAAACAATTAAAATAAAAAATAGTCAGGCATGGTGGCACACACCTGTGGTCCCAGCTACTTAGGAGGCTGAAGCAGAAGGATCACTTGAGCCCAGGAGGTAGAAAGGCTACAGTGAGCTATGATCATAATACTGAGCTATGATCATAATACTACACTCCTGCCTGGGCGATACAGCAAGGCCCCATTCTCAAGAAAAAAAAAAAAAGAGAGACAAGGGAAAGAACAAAAAATTAGAATACACAAACATTTACCAAATAAATTAACTGACAAACCTACAAATGAAAGGTCATAAACCCTGGTTGAGATTAAAGTTCAGAATTAGAAATGTGAAAAATCTTCATGTACAAAAGAACCCTTTTTTTTTTTTTTGAGACAGGATCTCACTCTGTCACCCAGGCTGGAGTGCAGTGGTGCAATCTCAGCTCACTGCAACCTCCACCTCCTAGGCTCAAGCGATCCTCCCACCTCAGCCTCCCAAGTAGCTGGACTATAGGCACATGCCATGCCTGGTTAATTTTTGTATTTTTAGTAGAGACAAGGGTTTGCCATGTTGCCCAGGCTGGTCTTGAACTCCTGAGCTCAGGTGATCTGCCCACTTCAGCCTCCAAATGCTAGGATTACAGCACTATGCCAGGCCCCCCCAAAAATCTTAACTGGTCAGCTGCTGAATTAAGTAAATGCATACAGGATGAGGAAGACAGGTTAAGAATTATTAAATTTTAAGTTTTTTAGTATGAAGACTTTAAGAGCCACATAACCCCTCTCTCTCCAATTCTAGAAAAGAAATCTAAGGTTCTGAAATATTCTGTATCTTACCCAAGTCATCAACTAGTTAGTGATACAGCCAAGACCTAAATCAAGTTTCCTAATTCTAGCTGCTTTCTGAGACGGAGTCTCATTCTTTCGCCCAGGCTGGAGTGCAGTGGGAAGATCTCAGCTCACTGCCACCTCCACCTCCCGGGTTCAAGCGATTCTCCTACCTCAGCCTCCCGAGTAGCTGGAATTACAGGCGCATGCCACCATGCCTGGCTGATTTTTGTATTTTTAGTAGACTTTTTTGTAGTAGAGATGTTTGTATTTTTAGTAGTTTCACCATGTTGATCAGGCCGGTCTCGAACTCCTGACCTTGTGATCCACCTGCCTCAGCCTCTCAAAGTGCTGGGATTACAGGCGTAAGCTACCGCGCCCAGCCTTCTAGTTTTATTACACTGTTCAATACAAGTTGTTTAAAAGTCACCAGTTTTTAAAAACGGTTTTTTAGATTACTTGACTGAAGTTACATTGTTTGCAAGGTATCAAAGCTTCAAAAGACCCTACACAGAGTATGATTGTTTCTCTCCCCTCATTTATAATTTAAATATAAAACCATCACAAAGTTTACAGGTATGCTGATGTTAAAACAGCTCATTTCTATATTTTAAGAACTTTTAATTATTATTTTTAGAGACAGGGTCTTGCTATGTTGCCCAGACTGGACTCAAACTCCTGGACTCAAGGGATCCTCTAACCTCAGCTGCCCACGCAGCTGGGATGACAGGCATGCACCACCATACCTGGCTTAGTATTATTTTTTTCTACCTAAAATTTCTAGATCAGCTTTATCCAAGCTGAAAGTCCTATTAATTTGGAACCCTGGTTTGGTTTGTACTCTAAATACATGCTGAGATATTAAAATACTGCTCTTAGCTCTCCCCACCATCTTGGATCCTGTGGAGGCCTCCTGGGAACAGGACTTCTTAAAGGAAGTATGTCTGGAAGGCTGTGGTCCAAGGGCATTTTTGCTGGCTATAAGTGGGGTCTCCGGAAAAAAAGGGAGCACATAGCTTTTCTTAAAATTGAAGGTGTTTATGCCCCAGATGAAACAAAATTCTATTTGGGCAAGAGATGTGCTTATGTATACAAAGCAAAGGACAACACAGTGACTCCTGGTGGCAAACCAAACAAAACCAGAGTCATCTGGGGAAAGGTAACTCAAGCCCATGGAAACAGTGGTGTGGTTCATGCCAAATTCCAAAGCAATCTTCCTGCTAATGCTATTGGACACAGAATCTGAGTGACGCTGTACACCACAAGGGTTTAAGCTAATGAAAAGTCAGTAAAAGTGGATTTGCGCTATTGTAAATAAATAAATAAACAAAAATAAAATACTGCTCTTAAAATCTAGAACTGTTATTGTTTCTTGATTTACAGCTAGAAGAGATTTCTAAAGACTGCCTCATTTCTGTCTCTTCTAAGCTTTTTTCGTAAATGACTGTATAACGTGTAATGTATTCATCTGACTATAACCTTAGGCAAGTTATTTAACCCTTCCTGAGTTTGAGCTCAGTGCAGAAAATATTTACTGATATCAAGTGCCAAGCATTGTGCATGGTTTACTCATGGTTGCCAAGGATTCGATGAGAATTTACATAATGTTCTTTGATATACAGCAAAGCCACAGCAAATATTAATTTCATTCATGGGCATTATCTCATCGCTGAAAGTTTTTTATTACTTAGAGCGTAAAGTGCATAACTGATTCAACAATACATTCCCATCTCTCACTGTCTGAAACTTTGAAATGTGACTAAGTTCAGAACGGTTCTGAAGATAGGGTAGTGAGAACTGCATCAAAGACAACACAAAATAGAGATAGATAAGGTTTCCTTTTTAGGACATTTAAAACAGTATGAAGAAAATTCTGAAGTCAGAAAAAATTTTCAAAATAATTTTTTGAAGGCCAGAGCAGTGGCTCATGCCTATAATCCCAGCACTTTGGGAGGCAGAGGCGGGTGGATCACCTGAGGGCAGGAGTTCGAGACCAGCCTGGCCAACATGGTGGAAACCCCATCTCTACTAAAAATACAAAAATTAGCCAGGGGTAGTGCCTGTAATCCCAGCTACTTGAGAGGCTGAGGCAGGAGAATCACTTGAACCCAGGAGGTGGAGGTTGCAGTGAGCTGAGATTGTGCCAGTGCACGCCAGCGTGGGCGACAGAGCAAGACTCTCGTTTCAAATGATAATAATAATTTTTTGGAGTCAGACACGTTAGGGTAGTTATACAACAATTTACTAATATGGTAAAGTACTCCCCCAAAAATAAAATAGCAGCCAAGCATGGTATCTCATGCCTGTAATTGCAGTACTTTGGGAGGCCAAGGCCGACAGATCACTTGAGCCCAGGAGTTGGAGACCAGCCTGGGCAACATGGTGAAACCCTATCACTATAAAAAATACAAAAATTAGCCAGGTATGGTGGTGTAGGCCTATGGTCCCAGTTACTTGAGAGGCTGGGGCAGGAGGATCACTTGAGTCCAGGAGGTGGAGGTTGCAGTGAGCTGAGATTGCACCACTGCACTCCAGCCTGGGTAACAAAACAAGACTCTTGTCTCTAAATAAATAAATAAATAAGCAAGCACCAATAGACTCAAGGACTCAAATTTTATATATACATACTTTCTTCTTTCTTCTTAGGGATTCCTGTATTCTAAGAGACACACATTATATTAACCAATCATTTTTCTCGCCTCTAAAAACTCACATTTAAATTTGTTCAGAGAAATAGAGGTGTTCTTTACCATTTTTAAAATCTAGTTCCTTCCAAAACGCTGGTCATGGTCATAATCTAGTTCAATTGTAACACTTTAAATCTCTGTATCTTCAATAAAAGGTATAATGCACTCATGAAAACATGAGGAATTTATAAGTGCTTTCAGCCAATACAGGGGCACCAATAACAAAGATCTGTATAAAAAGAGTTTGGAGAAGCTATCATGTTAATGCACAAACAAGTAGAAAAGAAAAGATATACACAAAACTTATCTTACCTGCTGAAAATTTTCGTTTCCCCAGTCTCTCAGTAAGACTCAATCTAACCAAGGGTTCTTCTCCTGAAATGGCAAAAGCAGAATTTCTCTATCCTTAGTCAATTTTTCTGTATTCAGTAACTACTAATGGGTACAAAGTATGTTCTGATATTAGTGTAAATCCACCCAGAAAGTCTCTTGAAAATCAGGTCTCAGTCTTAAGGAAGGCCATTATATCAAAAAAAAAAAAAAAAAACCCAAACCTATTAATAATAAACAGCCAAACATACAGCCTAAACAGAAGCAATAGCATAGTACTAATTATTATTATTATTTTGATAATAATAATAGACTCTTGCTCTGTCACTCAGGCTGGAGTGCAGTGGTGCCATCTTGGCTCATTGCAACTTCCACCTCCTGGGTTCAAGCAATTCTCCTGTCTCAGCCTCCCAAGTAGCTGGGACTACTGCGCACACTACCACACCTGGTGTTTTTTTTTTTTTTTTTTTTGAGACAGAGTCTCACTCTGTCGCCCAGGCTAGAGTGCAGTGGCCCGATCTCGGCTCACTGCAACCTCCACCTCCCGGGTTCAAGCGATTCTCCTGCCTCAGCCTGAGTAGCTGGGATTACAGGCGTGCACCACCATGCCCAGCTAAATTTTGTATTTTTAGTAGAGACAAGGTTTCACCGCGTTGGTCGGGCTGGTCTCGAATTTCTGACCTTGTGATCTGCCCGCCTCGGCCTCCCAAAGTGCCGGGATTACAGGCGTGAGCCACCACACCCAGCCTAATTTTTGTATTTTTAGTAGAGACAGGGTTTCACCATGTTGGCCAGGCTGGTCTTGAACTCCTGGCCTCAAGCGATCCGCCCGCCTCAGCCTCCCAAAGTGCTGGGATTATACATGTAAGCCACTGCGCACAGCCTAGAATAGTACTAATTATTAATAGCAGTCGAGTATAAGACAGATTGTATTCTTAACCAATTGGTTATAAAGCTGAAACTATCCTTTTGCTTATGCACTTTGATATGTTGAATGAAACTGTACTCTACTCCGATGTTAACTGTCCAATATAACTATCTCTGATCACCTCAGGAAGAAGTGAGCTCTCTTTCTTCTAATTCTTTGTTGTTTGAATTGCACAAACATTTAAATATATCTATATCTATAATTCCTTATTAGGCTTAAAATTATTAAGTGAAAATACTTCGTTACAGGCCGGGTGTGGTGGCTAACACCTATAATCCCAGCAATTTGGGAGGCTGAGGCAGGCAGATGATTTGAGGCCAGCAGTTCAAGACCAGTGTGGCCAACATGGTGAAACCCCGTTTCTACCAAAAATACAAAAATTAGCCAGGCGTGGTGGCGGGTGCCTATAATCCCAGCTACTGGGGAGGCTGAAGCAGGAGAATCACTTGAACCTGGGAGGCGGAGGTTGCAGTGAGTGGAGATCGCACCATTGCACTTTAGCCTGGGCGACAGAGCAAGACTCCATCTAAAAAAAAAAAAAATTAATGGCCAAGAACGGTGGCTCACACCTGTAATCCCAGCACTTCGGGAGGCCAAGGCGGGCGGATCACCTGAGGTCGGGAGTTTGAGACCAGCCAGACCAACATGGAGAAACCCCGTCTCTACTAAAAATACAAAAAAATCAGCCGGGCTTGGTGGCACATGCCTATAATCCCAACTACTTGGGAGGCCGAGACACGAAAATTGCTTGAACCCAGAAGACGGAGGCTGCGGTGAGCTGAGATCATGCCATTGCACTCCAGCCTAGGCAACAGGAGTGCAACTCTGTCTCAAAGAAATAAATAAAAAACTTTATTATATATACCTATTATTCTTTAGTCACATGGGAAGCCAATAAATGTATTGAGTGGATATAAACAGTAAATGGAAAAATATATGTGAGGGCTGCTTGACAAAGAATTTCAACCTTTTAAATATTAGAGTTGAATGTACCAACTTTTCATCTTTAGATTATCTCATCAGCATACTAACAAATTCCTGAAAATTCATCAAAGGTAAAAGATACCCAAGGATTTTGCATTCCCAATTATATAAAAGTAGAGGCTTGACAACTCTAAGACCTATCTATACCTTACCTTGTTTGGTGGAGAGAGTTACTGTCCTCACCACAGTCCTGACATTTTCTTTTTCAGGACCTGGAACGGGCTCAGGGTGGAGTAAAAGACTGGAAACTCCTGAAGAACCCTCTGAATAAGGCAAGTCAAAGAACAGCAAATAATTTATGGAAAATAATGCTATCCCAAGTCAAAAAATTTGTTTTTGTAACCAGTTAAGTCCAATACAGACTGATATTATGACTATAAGCCAATCAGCCTTTCTGTATCTGTTTGCCTACAGTCAAATGGAGTAGTGGTGAGGGGAGCCTTGGGCATGATGTGAAAACAAAATATAAAATTATTTTGAGTGACTTAGGCACCCAAACTACTTTTATTTACCAATAAGGCTAATATTTACCAATAAAGCTAGTATTATTCTAAAATTAACCTCAGAGGTACACTAGCCATCAGGTGTATCAATCCAACCTATTCTATTTAATCATCTGAAAACACAACTCCAAGGTTGCTATAAAGCAAGCCTTAAAAGAAGGTTTTTAGAACCATTTCTCTCTATATATACTACACTTCACACTATAAATTTTAAGGCTGGGGGCTGGGCGCAGTGGATTACCTGAGGTTGGGAGTTCGAGACCAGCCCAACCAACATGGAGAAACCCTGTCTTTACCAAAAATACAAAATTACCCAGGCGTGGTGGCGCATGCCTGTAATCCCAGCTACTCAGGAGGCTGAGGCAGCAGAATAGCTTGAACTGGGAGGTGGAGGTTGTGGTGAGCAAAGATTGCGCCATTGCACTCCAGCCTGGCAACAAAAGCAAAACTCTGTCTCAAAAAAAAAAAAAAAAAAAAAAAAAAAAAAAAAAAAAATTGGGGGTTGGAAATACAGAGCAATCAGGCTGACGTAAGCTCCAGAAGAAAATCCTAGCAGCTCTTGAGGAAGAACTCTTCTACTAGAAAATGACGTTTTTCCTTTTTTTTCTTTTTTGAGACAGAGTCTTGATCTGTCGCCAGGCTGGAATACAATGGTGCGATCTCAGCTCACTGCAACCTCTGCCTCCTGGGTTCAAGCAATTCTCATGCCTCAGCCTCCCGAGTAGCTGGGACTACAGGTGCATGCCACCCCGCCTGGCTAATTTTTTGTTTTAGTAGAGACGGGGTTTCACCATGTTGGCCAGGATGGTCTGGATCTCCCAACCTCATGATTCGCCCTCCTCGGCCTCCCAAAGTGCTGGGATTACAGGCGTGAGCCACCACGCCCAGCCTTTCCTCTCTTAATATAATTTCTTTTTAACCACTATAAGAACTTACAGAATTAATATAGTTCTTATATGATGTTCTTCAGAGCTATATTTTTCAAGATATACAAGTTCTTTCAGATTCTTTATTGTACCCAGCTCTGAAAAGTTAGGGACTGAAACACAGCTGCAGTGAATTAAAAGCAACCACAATTTAAATAAGTCTGTGTTTTACTTCAAACAGGCCATGGAAATGAAAATCTATTTGCTCATTTTGGCTGTTGCTTCTAGAAGCGTCCTTAGTATTCTTCCCTAGCAACATACAACTATCCATGCCAAAACGTGATGACTTACCACCTTGCTTCTTAGATTTTTCCTTCATTTTCTTTGACTTAATTTCCTCAAGAGTTTTTATTCCAAAATTCAAACATTCACCTGAAAATTCAAATAGAAATTTTATGAGGAACGGGAGCCTTTTCATCTTTGTATTTTATCTGTACATAGCAGGCATTTATTTTTGAATAAATGATCAACAGAAACTAAGTATAGGTAAGTATGCGTGTAGCATGGGAAAAAGAAGAGGGAGGTCAATGATTGTGAACTAAATTTCAAAGGTAGTTTCAACAGTGCTATAAGAGGCACCAATCTAGCCTCTTCTTACCTTGCTTTATATTGACTGCAGGTTTCCGGACAGAAGTCACTCGTAATCCATTGTGAACTTCAGGAGTTGGTTGCAGGGTAGGTGTTTTGGTTTCATCACCTTCCTCAGAAAACTGATCTATATATCAACATTTAAGGCAAATTCACAATTAAAAATACGCCTATAGCTTTAATCCTGATTCTGCCCAATTCACTATGAGACCCTATTTATTTGCCTTAAAGAAGGAGCCAGACAGAACTTACCATCATCATCTTCATCATCATCTGCAGCATTAATTACAACTGGTGGATGCGTGGGGCTAGGAACATTTTCGGAACTTTCTACTTTCATAACGCTCCGCAGCTGAGGGGAAGGATTGGACTGGACAGACAATTTGTTCTGCTGAACTGAAAGTTGGCTAGCCTTCACTTCCTCTTCTGGTGACTCAGGCACAGTGGGCAACACAGCTAAACGCACAAAATCAGTCATAAATTAAAAACAGAAGATACAACCCCAACTTACCAAAAATTCCTGACCACCTATGAAAACTATAGTGTATTTGTCTTATGAGCATTTATACTAAATTTCCTCATTTAAGTTCTAAAGTCCCAGGGAGGGAAAAGATGTGCTTTTACCTAATTAACTCTCCACTAACTCTCCACTGTACATAAACACAAAGTGGGCACTCAAAACAGAATCAACAGAAGACTAGAAGAAGCATAGTACCTGTTCACAAATTCTAGACCTTTAATTTTAATACTGCAATTCTAGGCTTTTTGCTCAGCAAAGAAGTAGCTTCTAAGACCCAAGCATATGACACTTACTTGAACCAAACCAGAAAGGAATAAGTCTACTTTTTTCCCTTAAATTGAGGTAAAAAGATGTAGCCATCAAATTTTAATCACGTAGCAACTGTGGCTTTTAAATGGCCAATTCCACTTTTAAATTACTTTAAAATGAACTTTGGGAATAACCACTAGCTTTTTAGTTTTATTTTAGATTATAGTCTAGAGTAGGGTTGGCAAATATTTTCTGTAAAGAGCCAGTTAATAATTTAGGCTTTGTGGGCCATATGGTTTCTGTCTCAACTACTCAATTCTATAGCACTAGCACAAAACTGATAATAGAAAATATGTAAATGAATGGGCAAGGCTATATTCCAATAAAACTTATTTTACAAAACAGGCAGAGGACCAGTTTTGCCAACCTTTGACCTAGAAAATCAAATTTATTTTGAAAACGTTTATGGGTCTGATAAGAATATGAGAAATGAAGTAAGTATAATAACTTAAATGGCATGCCAAGATATATAATGGTTCTAAGGCCAAGGATAAATCATTTAACCTTAATAAGATTCAGTTCACTTATCTGTAAAGTGGAAATAATTCTGCTGTTTCACAAGACTGAAAGGAGTCAATGTCTGAAAAGTACTGTTGTACAGTGTGCATAATAGGTGTTCATTTGATATTCTTTTAAAATTAAAAACTGATCTCACTTTTGCTCGGAGGTAGGAAAAGGCCATCAACATATCGTCCTCTATTGTGATGGAAAGCGCAGTTTAATTTTTGACATCCTGTTGGCTGATTTTCCCAATAACAAGGAATTTCACTGCGTTTTTTCTGTAAGAGGGAAAAACACATTGCTTTCAAATAAAACAGTGATACGTATATTCATGTGGCAGTTTGTTTTCTAGACAAAGTTCATACAGGGTTCAAAAATCCGAGGCATGTGAGATGAGATGATTTTTAGAAGGAAGAGAGATTGCTGAAAATAACATAACTTAGGCATGATGGAGAGCTGAATGGAGCAGGAGAGTAGTTTATGTTATTCTTTCCCTTTTTACCCTCATCCTGGAACCCCTAAAATGTCTACACTTAATTTAGAGAAGCAGGATGATACAGTAGTTTAAGTTTATGAAATCAAAGATAACGGTCTGAATCTCTATTATGTTACTTATTGGCCAGGTGGCCTTGGATAATTCATGCCTCTAAGCCTCACTTTCCTTAGCTATAAAACGGGAATAAATGGTTTCTTATGAAGAGTACATAAAATAATGTATATAAAGCACTAAGCACATAGGTCAAACTCAATAAACTGCAGTTATTACTTGAAGCTGAGAGTTCAAGGGTTTGAGAAAATTCTTCCCATTCATGAATTCTCAAAGTAAGGCACCTATAACAACACACTAAGGATGTTAGGTATCCTTCCCAAGTCACCTTACTTTTTTTTTTTTTTTGAGACAGAGTCTTGCTCTGTCACCCAGGCTGGAGTGCAGTGGCGCGATCTCCGCTCACTGCAAGCTCCGCCTCCCGGGTTCACGCCATTCTCCTGCCTCAGCCTCCAGAGTAGCTGGGACTACAGGTGCCTGCCACCACACTCGGCTAATTTTTTTTGTATTTTTAGTAGATAAGAGGTTTTACCATGTTAGCCAGGATGGTCTTGATCTCCTGACCTCGTGATCCGCCCGCCTCAGCCTCCCAAAGTGCTGGGATTACAGGTGTGAGCCACCGCACCCGGCCAGTCACCTTACTTTTATAAAGGAAAATTGGGAGAAAAAAAAAAAAAAAGAATACCTGTGCATCTAGAATAGAATAAACTGCTGAATCATAGGATGTATGTCCTAGAAAAATATATACATTAGTTCTCCAACAGCTGTGTATAAGCAATGTTCACAGCAATATTATTTTCAATAGCTCTATAATTTTGCAAACCCATGTGTACATCAATACTAGAATGGATAAAGAAACTGTAAAGTATTCGTACAACAGAATATCATCTAGTAATGAGAAGGAATAAACCATTGCTATACTCAATGCCACAGATGTGAAATGAAAGAAGCCAGACACAAGAGTGCATACTATACCATTCCATTTATGAAAAGATGAAAACAGTCAAAACTTCTCCATGGTAGAGTAGTTGGGATGCTGATCAGCTTTGGGGATGTGGTTAGTAACAAGGGGATGAAGGGGAAGATAGATTACTGCTAATACTCTATTTCTTGAACTAGGTGCTGATCAAGTAAGTATAATCACTCTATGAAAATTCTTCAAGTTGTAAGATTACGATTTTGCACTTTTCTAGATACATTTTAATAGTTCAAAAAAGGGGGAAAAAAGATATGAGAAGTACTCCCAAAAACTAACTAACCTCCGATGAACTGCATTATGTCGAATCTCTAATCATCATAAACAGCCTATGGTTTAAAATTCCAGGAAAAAACACCAGCATTGAAATTTAAGAATATGGAGAAGAGAGACAGAGAAACAATAACCATTACAAAAAGATGCTTAAATGTATCAAAAAGGGCAAAGGTCAAAATCTACTATATTGAGAGAGTGATAAAATTCAATTATACACTGTTTTCAGGGACGTGGAAGAATCAGGCAGTCTCAAACACATAATGGAAATGTAAATTTGCTCCACATCTCTGAAAGGTGATTTGGCAAAATCAGTTTTTTAAAACTATGTTCTAAGTTTATGTCATATGCATAATTACCTATTAATATTTTTAAAGTATAATTTTTAAAAAGAATTAATTATTATTAATCAATATTTATTTATTAATTTTAATATTATTGATATTTTCTAAAAGTATAATATTTTTTAAAAGTATAGGCTACTGTGGGCACACTACCTATAGAGTGGCCCTGCTCCACAAGGAGCAGTAAAAATAAAGTAAAAATAAAAGTACAGCAAATACCGTTACTTTCAAAGAACTAGGAAGAATTTATTAGTCCTCTGTCACACCCGAAAGGTAGATGTAATAGCTACCACTGTTTTTTAGACAGGAATAACAATTATTCAATTCTTCCTTTCTCAAGGCAGAACCTAATGCCAATCTTCCTTGTTCCTAAGCCTACCTTTGCTTAAATTTTACATCTTTCCTGGAAGCAATTTTCAAATTACTGAATGACTTCTGTAACAGTATCTTCTATACACAGAAGTCACATGACATTTATTTGATCTGTTTAATACATTTGCTAGATTTTGTTTCTAATTGAAAAGTAATATATGTGCAACGAAGACAACTTGGAAAATGGAAATAAATGCCAATTATGCTATTACCCAGAGAATCACTTATTTTGGTATGAGTTTTTACTTGTAAAAAAAAAATCACAAGTGACTATATGCATACTAAAAAGAAAGGTATTCCATGTAATTCTGTACATTTTTCCTTAGTAATATCCTCCACATGCCAGGCGTGGTGGCTCACGCCTGTAATCTCAACACTTTGGGAGGCCAAGGTGGGTTGATCACCTGAGGTCAGGAGCCTGACCAATATGGTGAAACCCCGTCTCTACTAAAAAATACAAAAATTAGCTGGGCATGGTGGAGGGCGCCTGTAGTCCCAGCTATGCGGGAGGCTGAGACAGGAGAATCACTTGAACCCGGGAGGTGGAAGTTTCAGTGAGCCAAGATGGAGCCACTGCACTCCAGCCTGGGTGACAGAGTGAGACTCCACCTCAAAAAAAAAAAAAAAAAAAAAAAATCCTCCACAGTAATATTTCTCCTACATAATTATGTCTTCACATTTTTAACAGTAATACAGCACATGATCCAAAGATAAAACAGTTGATTCTCATTATTTGCAGTAGTTATGTTCTATAAAGTCACTTGGAACACTGAATTAGTAAATACTAAACCATTATTCCTAAGGGAAATAGAGTTGGGTTCCTGTGGGCCTCTGGTCACATTTTCATCAACTAATCAATACATAACTTTGTTTTGGGTGCATTTAATATTGTTCATTCATTAATATGAAACGCAAGACAAATAGCACTGTAACTCACACTTGAACAAAGCTTATCTAACATCTATTTTCTTTTTTTTTTTTTTTTTTTGAGACGGAGTCTCGCTCTGTTGCCCAGGTTGGAGTGCAGTGGCACAATCTTGTCTCACTGAAACCTCCACCTCCAGGGTTCAAGCAATTCTCCTGCCTCAGCCTCCCGAGTAGCTGGGATTATAGGCACGTGTCACCATGCCCGGCTAATTTTTTTGTATTTTTAGTAGAGACAGGGTTTCACCATGTTGTCCAGGCTGGTCTCAAACTCCTGAGATGATCTGCCTGCCTCAGCCTCCCAAAGTGCTGGGATTACAGGCGTGAGCCACCGTGTCCGGCCTAACAATCTATTTTCTCTATAAGACACATCACAGCTTTCTTCTACTCAGCAACACTACAAAGCACTTGAGCAATAGGCCTAGGAGCCATTTTAAGCAGCACCACCACCAACCAAAAGCCGTGGAACCAAATACATCATGAAAAGGACACTTGTTTACAGTATCAGAAGGAGGCAGAGCTCTGTTCCGCCTCACCTGGAAATGTGACTCAATTTGTGAACCAATGTGACACATGTCAGATGACTCAAATTTTTTGCTGCTCTGAACATGCCTACGAATGGCCAAGTACTGATTTGGGGGTTATAAATTTTAGCAAGTAGGCAAATTCGCAAATATGGAACCAATGAATAATGAAAATGAATTGCACACAGAAGGGGTACATGATAAAAAGACTCCTTCTCATCCCTGACACCTTCCCATAGCCACTGTTGTTAAGTTTCACCTTTATACTTCCAGAGATTTTTAAAATTCATATGCAAGTGAAAAACAAATATAAATTATTTTCCCTCTTTTTTTTTTTTTTTTAATTTTGAGATGGGAGTCTTACTGTGTAGCCCAGGCTGGAGTACAGTGGTGTAATCTCGGCTCACTGCAATCTCCACCTCCCAGGTTCAAGCGATTCTCCTGCCTCAACCTCCTGAGTAGCTGGGACTACATGGCTGCGTCACCACGCCCGACTAATTTTTGTAATTTGAGTAGAGACGGGGTTTCACTGTGTTGGCCAGCTGGTCTCAAACTCCTGACCTCAGGTGATCCAGCCGCCTCAGCCTCCCAAAGTGCTGAGATTACAGGCATGAGCCACGGCGCCCGGCTTCCCTCTCCTTTTTTAACCCACCTTGCTCTTCACCTTAGGTTTTTCACTTGACAATATATCCTGATTATTTCCGTATCAATAAATTAGTTTCCCCTTTAAAATTTTTTGTTAACAGCTACCTGGCACTCTACAGTATGAATGTAGTAAAACCTTATTTTAAATGAAGGATAGTTAGGTTATTTCCAGTATTTTACTATTACAAATTGCTACAATAAGCAATTCTGCACACATCTTATTTTGCAGGTAAATACCTATGTGTAAAAAGTATAAGTATTTAGTTCTTTCAAGCAATACAGCCAATAAGCCTCAGTGCAGAAAAGAGTTAGCATAGCAGCTCTTAGACTACTGTCCTTAGAAATGCCTGCTTGCAAGGCTTGCTCTTGGCTAGCATCTGGGACCTTGGCTTTTAGACGCTCCAAGTTAATTGGTAAGTGGGGAAGGGAGAAGGCTCAGTATGCCTAGACTGTTTGTACAAACAATATGGTTAATGCTGAACATCTGCCTTCCTTCTGGGAGTCTGGAATTTGGGTACATGTTTGGTAAAGAGTGCTTATATGGCTAGCACCAATGAAAATCCTGGATGCTGAGTCTCTAATGGATTTCCCTGGGCAGGAATACCACACATGCATTGCTGCATTTTCATGACTAGGAAAAGAGTGTGCTCTGTGTCACCCCTAAAGGGAGTGGGCATAAAAAAACAGGCACACGGATTCTTCCAGATTCCTCCAGTGTCTTTTTCTCTTATGATCTGACAGTGTCTTTACTCTATTGCTGCAATAAATCTCAACTCTGAATACATCCTAGAGAATCTCTAAATGAAGAGATGCTCCTGGAGACACTGCCATACCCTCCATAGGAGCTGTGCCAATATACACTCCACTAAAAATGTTACAACATTGACTTTTCATGTTATAACATAAAATATAAAAGTTGCAGAGTACTCCTTTATCAATTTATTTGATATCTGCTGCTATTTGCAAGATAGGTAGCTTAGAATGTAGTTAAGAGACAAGAAATACAAAACCAGACTGGAGTAGCTGACCCCAGGCACATGAACTGCATATTTAGTCTCACTCTAACAATTCAGTCCAAAGTCATTAGATGGGGTTGAGGGAGACAGGCATTCAGATGGGAGAAGGGAAGGACATGGTGGCCCAGAGCAGGGTATTGGAGTCTGACTGAGAATAGGAAGGTATCCACATGACCATGTGGAACTGGCATAGGGTGTTGGAACCCACGGAGGGTTGGAGGGTTAAGAGGACATGTGCATGAAAGGGTACCCTGACAAGTGTTGAGCCTGAGCAGGGTTAGCAATGTCTCTGTGCAGAAGAGATCACAATGTAGGATGAAGAATATATACTCATGTAGGGTCAGTCTAGAATGGCATCAAAGACCAAGTGGGGTTAGGAAGGCAGGGTATTCCCAAGGGAACCTGGTACAGAGTTGGAGTATGTGCGCAGGGTCAGGACAGCATCTCACATGTGAGGGCCGCTCAGCACAAAGTATCACAGCCCAAAGGTGTGAAAACAGTATCCATTATAGGGATCGTGTTGGGGGTCAAAAGTAGGATGTTGGGGTCCAAGCAGGGTGAGAAAGAGGTCCCTATGGTAAAGCAAGCAGGGAGGCTTAGCACAGAGTACTAGAGTTGAAACATGGTGAGAAAGGTGTCCTTGTGGAGAAGCTGTGTGTGTCATGTCAGAGCCTGAGAGGAAGGAAAAAGCTGTGACACAATATTGGTTTTTATACTAGTAGACTGATCAAATAAATAAAAGTATTATGAACAATGAAAACCAAGTTTCTCACTTCTGGAGAAGAGTTACAGGTATGGAAAAGGAGAAGTCTAGACTAAGTCCTGTGGCATTGATGAACTGGAAGCATCTATATGAACTCATAATTTGTAATACTATGTATCTATTATTAAATACATAGGGCCAGGCACGGTGGCTCACACCTGTAATCCCAGGACTTTGGGAGGCCAAGGCGGGCGGATCACGAGGTCAGCAGATCGAGACCATCCTGGCTAACACGGTGAAACCCCATCTCTACTAAAAGTACAAAAAATTAGCCGGGCGTGGTGGCGGGCACCTGTAATCCCAGCTACTCGGGAGACTGAAACAGGAGAATGGTGTGAACCAATGAGGCGGAGCTTGCAGTGAGCGGAGATCGCGCCACTGCACTCCAGCCTGGGTGATAGAGCAAGACTCCGTCTCAAAAAAAAAAAAACAAAACCAAAAACCATAATGATGTAAATGTCTGTTAAGTGTATACATTTATATATTCCTCAGCTCTGTCCACTGAGAGGACCTGAAAGTGATGACACTCTAGGAGCAGCCCAAATCTTAACTTCTATATACCATTATTCACTAAAAGAAACCAGGGCACCTTGGATAAATGGCCGAATACAGGGCTGAAGTAGGAAAAGTACAGGATGAGCCTGGAAAATCTTGTCAGGCCAAAAAGCAGAGATGCTCAAAGAATGATGGAAACATCAAAAGAACACAAAAATCAGTTTGAAAGGCTCCTACTTGCCAAATCTGGGTCAATCGGAGCATAAAAGTAATGATAGTAACAGAGTACGACACACTGATTAAAATAGAAAACCACATGTATTAGTCCATTTTCACATTGCTATAAAGAACTATCTGAGACTGGGAAATTTATTTAAAAAAAAAAGGTTTAACTAACTCACAGTTCTGCATGGCTGGGGAGGCTTCAGGAAACTTATAATTATGGCAGGAGGTGAACAGGACGCAAGACACAAACAAGTCTTACATGGCAGCAAGAGAGCGCGAGCAAAGGGAGTCCCACACTTTTAAACCATCAGATCTCACGAGAACGCACTCACTATCATGAGAATAGCGTGGGGGAAACCGCCCCCATGATCCAATCACCTCCCATCAGGTCCCTCCCTTAACACATGGGGATTACGATAGAGGTGAGATTCAGGTGAGGATACAGAGCCAAACGTATCACCACAAGTTTGCATTAATTCACATCAATAACGGGGAAAAAGTTGAAGTCTGATGAGAAACGGGGTAAAGGGTCTAAAAGTACCTCTCCACAAAATATTTATTAATTACAAAAAGAAAGCCTTTATAATGAAGCAATCTGGCAGATACCATCTTAATTGAGTGATCAAAGTTAACATCACCAGTAATGAGAAAATTAAAACTGTGTGCCACGGGATGATATGCAACAAAAATACCATTCGCCGGGCGTGGCTCACACCTGTAATCTCAGCACTCTGGGAGGCTGAGGCAGGTGAATAACTTGAGGCCAACAATTCGAGACCAGCCTGGCCAACATCGCGAAACCTCGTGTCTACTAAAAAACACAAAAAATTAGACGGGTGTGGTGAGGCATGCCCGTTGTCCCAGCTACTCGAGAGGTTGAGGCACAAGAATCACATGAACTCAGGAGGCAGAGGTCGCAGTGAGCTGAGATCCCACCACTGCACTCCAGCCTGGGTAACAGCGCGAGACTCTGTCTCAACTCAAAATATACACACACACACACATAATTTGTGATATTCCTGCTAAAGCTATATAATCTTAATTTAGTAATGAGGGGGAATACAAACAAACCCAAATTGAAGAACATTCTTAAAAACAATTTCCCTATAGCTACCATAAGTGTTAAGGGCAATGAAACGCAAGGCAGGACTGAGCAACTGCTCTCAACAGAAGGAGACAAAACTAGTCGTGACAACTATGTGCAACACTTGAATTTGGGCTTTTTTTTTTTTTTTCTTGAGATGGAGTCTCGCCCTGTCACCCAGGCCAGAATGGAGTGGCGCAATCTCAGCTCAGTGCAACCTCCGCCTCCCAGGTTCAAGCGATTCTCCTGCTTCAGCCTCCTGAATAGCTGGGATTACAGACGCGTGCCACCACACCCAACTAATTTTTATATTTTTAGTAGAGATGGGCTTTCACCATGTTGGTCAGGCTGGTCTCGAACTCCTGATCTCATGATTCACCCGCCTCAGCCTAGTAAAGTGCTGGGATTACAGGCGTGAGCCACTGAGCCCAGCCTGGACTTGCTCTTTCTAAAATAAAAGATATTAAAATAAAACTGGCAAAATTTGAGTGAGATCAAAGGATTAAACGATGGTAATATATCAATGTTAATCTTTTTAAAAAAATTGCTGGAGTCGGCTGGGCGCGGTGGCTCATGCCTGTAATCCCAGCACTTTGGGAGGCCGAGGCAAGTGGATCACCAGAGATCAGGAGTTCGAGACCAGCCTGACCAGCATGGCAAAACCCCATCTCTACTAAAAATACAGAATTAGCCAGGCATGGTAGTGCATGCCTGTAATTCTAGCTACTCGGGAGGCTGAGGCAGGAGAACCGCTTGAACTAGGGAGGTGGAGGTTGCACTAAGCTGAGCCCATGCTATTACACTCCAGCCTGGGCAACAAGAGCAAAACTCTGTCTCAAAAAAAAAAAAAAAAAAAAAATTGGAGTCAGCTGGGCACGGTGGCTCACGCATGTAATCCCAGCACTTTCAGAGGCCAAAGTGGGTAAATCACCTGAAGTCAGGAGTTCGAGCCCAGCCTGGCCTGCGTGGTAAAACCCCGTCTCTACTAAAAATACAAAAATTAGCAGGCCATGGTGGCAGGTGCCTGTAATCCCAGCTACTCAGGAGGCTGAGGCAGGAGAATCGCTTGAACCTGGGAGGTGGAGGTTGCAGTAAGCAGAGATTGCGCCACTGCACTCCAGCGTGGGCGACAGAGTGAGACTCCGTTTCAAAAAAAAAAAAATAAAAAGAAAGAAAAAAAAATTGCATAGAGGAAAGTTGTGTATATATATACACACACATATATACACGTGTGTGTATATACACACATATACATATGTATATATACACGTGTGTGTGTGTGTGTGTGTGTGTGTGTGTATATATATATATTTTTTTTTTTGAGACGGAGTGTTGCTCTGTCACCAGGCTGGAGTGCAGTGGTGCGATCTCAGCTCACTGCAACCTCCAACTCCCTGGTTCGAGCGATTTTCCTGCCTCAGCCTCCCGAGTAGCTGGAATTACAGGCACATGCCACCACACTGAGCTAATTTTTTGTATTTTTAGTAGAGATGGGGTTTCACCACGTTGGCTAGGATGGTCTCAATCTCCTGACCTCATGATCTACCCGCCTCAGCCTCCCAAAGTGCTGGAACTACAGGCATGAGCCACTGCACTCAGCCTTAATATATTTTTTAAAAGTCACTTTTGTCCCTATATTTTTTATTGGCCCACCAGGTCTCCAGACTACTTATTATGATAACGGAAATAAAAAACTTACATCAATCTCCATGTGCCGAAACCTGCACACCTGTCGAAAACAGCGCCCTTCTTGCCATAATGTGCAAACAGTTTCATTTCCTATTGCAGCTTCACAGTGACGGAATGGGCAGCTGTCACCCTGTAAACAAATAGAGAACACTCTATTTGTAGCATTGAAATACATCCTAGGTAAAATATCCATAACAAGAGCTCCTGGAATTTAGACAAGCACAAATGAGTAAGAAAGGACTGGTAAGGTAAAAAACAATGGACATGGAATGACAGGAACAAACCGAGAGCAACAAATTATTTCCTATAACCTATTTCTTGACAGTACCCTTCGTTTGATCTGGCATGAGTGACACAAGCTGAAAAAAAGAGTTGAAAAAGACAAGTAGGAGTGTTAGGTCCTCTTTAAAAATGTATTTTACAGTTCATCTTCAAAACTGACATCTCGCCTTGTGTAACTCTAGCTTTTGATGGAAAATCAGAAAGTAAATAGAATTTAAATATAATTAACATATATACAATATAACTGTGCTCCACTGCATACTTTATGCAACGGTAATATCTGAAATAAAACGCTACTGTTGTGCAAACTGCTATAGGTAAGATAAAATTATCACAGCTTTGCTCAAAACTCATCATTTAAAACATAATATCACCGGGCGTGGGGGCTCACGCCTGTAATCCCAGCACTTTGGGAGGCCGAGGCGGGCAGATCACAAGGTCAGGAGTTCAAGACAAGCCTGGCCAACACGTGAAACCCTGTCTGTACTAAAAATACAGTTAGCTGGGTGTGGTGGCAGGCGCCAGAAATCCCAGCTACTTGGGAGGCTGAGGCAGGAGAATGGCTTGAACCTGGGAGGCGGAGGTTACAGTAAGCCAAGACCATACCACTGCACTCCAGCCTGGGTGACAGAACTAGACTCCGTCTCAAAAAATAAAAATAAAAAAAAAATCAAGATGACTGAAGAACAAATTTTTTTAACATATACGTTTATAGAATTAGTCATAAAATCACAGAAAGCAATAGGTATATGTAAATAGAGCTGCAAAAGAATCAAGGAGAAAAACAGAAGTTTTGACAAAGATTAAGCCAAAAAACTGCAAAAGCATATTTAGTATGATGACTCTATATTCTTAGTACTCAGCAGGAAATCTGGGAGAAGAAAGAAGTCAAATTCAACCCATGACAGTTTCTGGAAGTACAACACAATTCACTAACTATTCACTCACTCATTTAATATGAAGTATATAAAATCAAAGTTAGTAAGGCATAGGTCAAAGTGGCCCCATTTCCAAAGGCACCCTGAACAGATTAATTTTGAACACTGAATGATGACTACATGCCACGTGCCTTTTCACTTTTGTACAAGATGGGAAAATTAGTTATATATAAAATGAAAAGAAAAAAACACTGAATTACCCTAAATACATTATCCTTTAAAAAACTGACAGCCAATAATAAAGTTGGGCAAAAAATATATATATAATAAAAACAACTTAAAATGTTGGGAAAATCTTATCCAATTCTATTAAGCAAATTGTAGAAAGAACTGATTTAAAGATGTCAATTCTTACTTTGGTACATGTGGAATAGAAAAAAAAATAGCAGTCTTCTCCTTGATTAGGCATGCTGGGTAGATTCTTAGATCAGAAGTGGCTTCTTGAAACAAGCCACTGCTTCCTCAAAGCAAGGACCAGGCTCCAAGTCCTCGTGAAATGGGTTTAATCTTCCAAATGACAACTTGATCACAGAAATTGTCTTTAAACTGTAATCCTAAAATGAGGAGACAATGAATTAAAATATTTCAGGTAAATTCTTCCTCCTTCAAATCACCATGGCTAATGAGATCGTATTGCTAGAGTCAAATTTTATTAATACGACCTTGCTTATACAGAGCCTTGTAAACACACTGATTGCGAATACTGTACATTCCCATCTACAATGTAAAATTTTGACTAGAAAGGCCATGCCCTTCTTTTATATTCTCTGTGATGCTTGTTACACAGTTACAGCATTGTAAATAAGCATTGTTAACTAAAGATCTACATTTTATTTTTAACTCTTTTTAGAGACAGTGTCTCACTCTGTTGCCCAGGCTGGAGTGCAATGATGTGATCACAGCTCACAGCAACACTGAACTCCTGGGCTCAAGGGATTCTCCCACCTCAGCCTCCCCCAAGTATCCAGGACTACAGGCACATACCACTATACCCAGCTAATTTTTTAAAAAAAATTTTTGTAAAGACAGGATCTTGCTATGTTGTTCAGTCTGGTCTTGAACTCCTGCCTCAAGCAATCCTCCTCACTTGGCCTCCCAAAATGCTGGGATTATAGGTGTGAGCCATCCCGCCCAGCCTGATCTACATTATACATATATGTATATATGTATGTATATATGTATTTTTGCCTACTAATTTGAAAGTCTCAAAAGACTACATACATTTTAGATTATTAATGGGACTTAGGTTACTAACACAAAATACTTGCTAACAAAATATGATAAAGTAGAATGTTTCATCTAAATGAAAAACTTCAAATATTTTCACAAGCATTTTTATTCCAAAAGTATATAATCATAACTAGGTGAGAAAACCCTGTTTAGCTAGAATAACTGATGAAAACAATTACTTCTGAAAAGGTCTATCGATCTAGCTTACGTTAATGAAGACGACTAGAGGTGTACACCAATTACAAACAAGACGCAAAAGTAGTCTTTGGGGCTTTCCATAATAGTGATTCCACAAAACAACAAATATTTTCTCCCCTAGTCCATGGCATACCCTGATCTCCACACTAAAACGTCCAAGCAAGCTTCTACAAAAGCATATAACAAAAGCACATACGAGAATATGGAAAGGGTTTCCACAAACGTACATACCAGAAGATCAGGTTTCAGAAATAGTGATCTACAACTTGAAATCAATTAAATCAAATTCAGTCATATCTCCCACTAATAATTCCTAATGCAAGAATGGTATGCCATGATGAAAAGTCACCTTGATGTTAACAACCTGGATTAAGAGTCTGACACTGAACATGGGTACTAAACATGTACCCAAATGTTTAAAGTTTACATACCCTTCGACAATTCCATTTCTAGAATGTATTATAATATGTAAAAGTATTAAAGGTAACAATGCACAATAAATGTTATCACAATCTTGTTTTAATAATGAAATAGGCCGGGTGCAGTGGCTCATACCTATAATCCCAGCACTCTGGGAGGCCAAGGTGGGCAGATCGCTTGAGTCCAGGAGTTCGAGACCAGCCTGGACAACATGGCAAAACCCCATCTCTTAAAAAAAAAAAAAAAAAAAAAGCTGGGTGTGGTGGCACACTCCTGTGATCCCAGCTACACGGGGGAGCTGAGGCACAAGAATCACTTGAACCCAGGAGGCAGAGGTTGCAGTGAGCTGACATTGCGCCACTGCACTCCAGCTTGGGCAACAGAGCGAGACACTGTCTCAAAAAAAAAAAAAAAAGAAAAGAAAAGGAAGAAAATAATGAAATAACATCTAGAAACCTAACTGTTCAAAAACTGGAGACTATTTTTAAAAATTATGATATATGGCCAGGCACGGTGGCTCATGCCTGTAATCCCAGCACTTTGGGAGGTGGAAGCTGGTGGATCACTTGAGGTCAGGAGTTTGAGAACAGCCTGGACAACATGGCGAAACCCCATCTCTACTAAAAATACAAAAATTACCCAGGTGTGGTGGCACACACCTGTAGTCCCAGCTACTCAGGAGCCTAAGGTAGGGAAACTTCTTGAACCCGGGAGGTGGAGGTTGCAGTGAGCCGAGATCATGCACTGCACTCCATCCTGGACAACAGAGTGAGACTCTATCTCAAAAATAAACAAATGATTTAAAAAAATTACGGTATATTCATGTAATGTGACAATATACAGCCATTAGAGTTTCATACCAGAAAGTGAATGCTGCTGTAAAAAACCAAAAACAAAAAAATCTAAAAATATGTAAGCAGCTTTGTTATTGGGTCATAGGTGGAGGCTGGAAGACTTTTGAGGTACTTGATAGAAAAGGCCTAGAAGAAACTGCTGCTAAAGCATATGAACGTTAAAGGTACTTAAGGTACTTATGGTGAGGTTTCAGTCAGAAATTAGGATCGTGTTATTGGAAACTGGAGGAAAGGTTATTCTTTTTTTTTTCTTTGAGATGGAGTCTTGCTCTGTCACCCAGGCTGGAATGCAATGGTGCCATCTTGGCTCACTGCAACCTCTGCCTCCCAGGTTCAAGCAATTCTCCCGCCTCAGTCTCCCAAGTAGCTGGAATTACAGGCTTGCACCACCACATATGGCTAATTTTTGTATTTTTAGTAGAGACAGGGTTTCGCCATGTTGGCCAGGCTGGTCTTGAACTTCTGACCTCAGATGATCCTCCCACCTCAGCCTCCCAAAGTGCTGGGATTACAGGTGTGAGCCAGCGCCTGGCCGGAAAGGTTATTCCTGTTAAAAAGTGGCAGAGAACTTAGAATTGGGTTGTGTTGGGCAGAAGGCAGAACCTGGAAGCAATGAACTTGGGTTTTAGCTGAGGAGATTTCTAAGCAAAGTGTGGAAGGAACAGCCTGGGCTTTTCCTGCTGCTTACAGTGAAATGCAAGGAGAGAGACATATTGAGGCAAGAACTATGAAGCAAAAAGGAATAAAGAATCTGAACTTGAAAATTTAGAAAATTCTCACTCTATCCATATTGCAAAAAAAAAAAACAAGAATGTATGCTCTGTAGAGAAAAGGGTATGGGTGGGCAACAGTTTGTTGGAGATTAGGTGTGTGACTAGATTCAGGCAACCATCTTAGCAAAAAATGTTGCCAGCTTAAAATGAAAGAGACAGACATGTACAGAGGGAATGTGATGAGAAGACACACAAGGAGAAGATGACCATGTGGCTGGAGTGATGCATCTACAAACCAAGGAATGCCAAGGATTGCCAACAAACACCAGAAGCCAGAATGGGTAAGGATCATTCCTCTACAGGCTTCAGAGGGAGAATGGCCCTGCTGAAAACATTTTAGACATCTCACCTTCAGAATTGTGAGACAACAAACTTCTGTAGCTACCCAGTTTGTGATACTTTGTTATGGAAGTCCTAGGAACTAATACAGATAACAAGCATAGTCAAATGACCTTTGACAAAGGGGAAAAGGATAGTCTTTTCAACATATGTTACTGGAACAAATGGATATCCACATATAAAAAAATAATTTTAGACACAGACTTTATACTTTTCACAAAAAATAACATGGATAACAACTTAAATACAAAAGAAAACCAATAAATTGGTTTTCAATAAAAACCATTAAAATTTAGCCAGGCATGGTGGTGAATGCCTGTGATCCCAGCTACTGAGGAGGCTGAGGCAAGAGAATTGCTTGAACCTGGGAGGCGGAGGTTGCAGTGAGCTGAGATCACACCACTGCACTCCAGCCTAGGCAACAAGAGCAAAACTCCATCCAAAAAAAAACAAAAAACAAAAAACAAAAAAACATTAAATTGGAGTTCATTAAAATTAAAAAGGTCTGCTCTGTGAAAGCTCTGTTAAGAAGCTTAAGAAAGAATGAAAAAGCCACAGGCTGGGAGAAAATATTTGCAAAACATAACTGATAAGGTCTGATATACAAAATATATAACTCTTGAAACTCAAAAATAAGAAAACAACTCCCCAATTCAAAAAGGCAAAAGATCTGAACAGGTACCTCACCAAAGAAGGTATACAGATGGAAAATAAGCATTTGAAATCTTGCCCAACATCATGCATCATTAGGGATTGCAAATTCCTTTTCTAATGGCTAAAATCCATTTGGGCACAGTGGCTCACACTTGTAATCCCAGCACTTTGGGAGGCCGAGGCAGGTGGGTCATCTGAGGTCAGGAGTTCAAGACGAGCTTGGCAAACATGGTGAGACCCCATCTCTACTAAAAATACAAAAATTAGCTGGCCGTGGTAGCACACACCTGTAATCCCAGCTACTCAGGAGGCAAAAACAGGAGAATCGTTTGAACCTAGGAGGCAGAGGCTGCAGTGAGCCGAGATCATGCCACTATACTCCAGCCTGGGCAACAGAGTGAGACTCCGTCTCAAAAAAAAAAAAAAAAAAAAATTTAGAATGGCTAAAATCCAAAATACTGAAAGCACTAAATGCTGGTGAGGATGGGAAGCAACAAGACAGAAGTCTGAAAAAAACACAAAACATGGAATAGTATGCATCCAATAAAAAGGAACAAAATCATGTCCTTTGCAGGGACATGAATGGAGCCAGAGGCTATTATCCTTAGCAAACTAATGCAGAAACAGGAAACCAAATACAGCATGTTCTCACTTATAAGTGGGAGCTAAATGCTGAGAACACTTGGACACATAGAGGGGAACAACAAACACTGGAGCCTATCAGAAGGTAGAAGGTGGGAGGAGGGAGAGGATCAGGAAAAACAACTAATAGATACTAGGCTTAATACCTGGGTGATGAAATAATCTGTACAACAAACCCCCACGACACACATTTACCTGTGTAACAAACCTGCACATCCTGCACATGTACCCCTGAATTTAAAATGAAAGTTAAGGCCCAGTGTGGTGACTCATACATGTAATCCCAGCACTTTGGGAGGCCGAGGTGGGTGGATCACTTGAGGTCAGTAGTTCAAGACCAGCCTGGCCAACATGGTGAAACCTCGTCTCTATCAAAAAATATAAAAATTAGCCAAGCATGGTGGCACACATCTATAGTCCCAGCTACTCAGGAGGCTGAGGTGTGAGAATCACTTGAACACAGGAGGTGGAGGTTGCAGTGAACCAAGATCACACTACTGCACTCCAGCCTGGGTGACAGTGAGACCTGTCTAAAAAAAAAAAAAAAGAAAAAGACAAAGCTATCTGAATACTTTTCAGACATATATGCAACAAAGGAAAAAGTTTAATAATAAAAAAAGTCATTTGAGGTCAAGAGTTCAAGACCAGCCTGGCCAACATGGCAAAATCCCATCTCTACTGAAAATACAAAAAATTAGCCAGGCGTGGTAGCCCACAACTGTAGTCTCAGCTACTCGGGAGGCTAATGTACAAGAATCGCTTGAATCCAGGGGGCAGAGGTTGCAGTGAGCCACAATCTTGCCACTGCACTCCAGACTAGGCAACAGAGCAAGATTCTGCCTCCAGAAAAAAAAAGTTTTTAAGGGGAATAAAAGGCTTAGAGGTCAATCTCACTCACAAAATCAATATTCCAAAGAACATATTTGAAACTGTTACCGGTTTTAGAAAGACCAGCAACAAAGTAATTGAAACAATGAAATGGTAGCTATGAAATGCAAAGACACAGCAGAATTTACAATTTTTTGGCAACTAATTTTATTTATTTATTTATCTGGAGACGGAGTTTCGAGTTTTGCTCTTGTTGCCCAGGCTGAAGTGCAATGGCACGACCTCAGCTGACTGCAACCTCCACCTCCTGGGTTCAAGTGAGTCGCCTGCCTCAGCCTCCCAAGTAGCTGGAATTACAGGTGCCCACCACCACACTTGGCTTTTTTTTTTTTTTTTTTGTGACAGAGTTTCACTCTTCTACCCAGGCTGCTGGAGTGCAGTGGCGCAATCTCGGCTCATTGCAACCTCCACCTTCTGGTTTCAAGCGATTCTCTTGCCTCAGCCTCCCAAGTAACTGGGATTACAGGCGCCTACCACCATACCCTGCTAATTTTTTTTTTTTTTTGTATTTTTAGTAGAGATGGAGTTTCACCATAGTGGCCAGGCTGGTGTGAAACTCCTGACCTCAGGTCATCTGCCCGCCTCAACCTCTCAAAGTGCTGGGATTACAGGCGTGAGCGTCTGGCCCACAACTAATTTTCAAATCATTTTCTGCAAAGAGCCCTCAAAGTTGGGCAGAGTGTGGAGAAATGGAATCCTGAGTAGATAACACTCCCTTACTAATGTTTCAACAGAAAAAACTCCTTCGTCAGATCTAAGAGCTGGCCGGGCGCGGTGGCTCACGCCTGTATTCCCAGCATTTTGGGAGTCCGAGGCGGGTGGATCACGAGGTCAGGAGATCGAGACCATCCTGGCTGACACTGTGAAACCCCATCTCTACTAAAAATACAAAAAATTAGCTGGGCGTGGTGGTGGGCGCCTGTGGTCCCAGCTACTCTGGAGGCTGAGGCAGGAGAATGGTGTGAACCCCAGAGGTGCAGGTTGCAGTGAGCTGAGATCGCGCCACTGCACTCTAGCCTGGGCGACAGAGTGAGACTCTGTCTCAAAAAAAAAAAAAACCTAACAGCTACAATGTAAAACAAGAAAAAGGAAATAAGAGATAAAGAAAAAAAGAAAAGTTTCTTTATATATCATCTTTATACACTAAGCTTCTGTAACTTTCACTAGGATAAAAACAAATATAATTGCCATTCAAGAAAACGGCAAGGCCAGGTGCAGTGGCTCATGCCTATAATCCTAACACTTTGAGAGACCAAGGCAAGAGGATCACTTGAGACCAGGAGTTCAAGAACAGCCTGGGCAACAGACAGACCTCATCTCTTAAAAAAAAAACAAAAAACAAAAACAAAAAAAACACCACTCCAGCTTTTAAATGATGCTCCAATGACTTTATAATCAATACTATCCCATGCAAAAACACAAAACAAAGATGCACATCCATAAATTTCTTAAGTTTAAAAGGAAAAAAAAAGTATCTAGGTTGCCAAGAAAAACCCAGTTACTTTTTTTTGTTTAGTTTTGTTATTTTTGAGAGAGTCTCGCTCTGTTGCCCAAACCTGGAGTGCAGTTGCGTGATCTTGACTTACTGCAACCTCCACCTCCTGGGTTCAAGCAATTCTCCTGCCTCACCCTCCCGAGTAGCTGGAATTACAGGCGCCTGCCACCATGCCTGGCTAATTTTTGTATTTTTAGTAGAGACGGGGTTTCACCATGTTGGCCAGATTGGTCTCGAACTCCTGACCTCAAGTGATCTGCCCATCTCAGCCTCACAAAGTGCTAGGATTACAGCCGTGAGCCACCGCACCCGGTTAACCTGGTTACTTTTCAACAGAAAATAACCGTTTGAAAATATGAAGCCAAGAAAAATAATGGGACCTTTCTCAACCCACTCTCTAGAAGTTAATGTAGGAAAAAGGACATATTATTTTAAAATCTTCATGCTCTCAGCAAGTTTTAAAGGATATAGCATTGCTACAAATGAACATACCACTATGAAAAAAGAGTGGGGCTGGGTGCGGTGGCTCAGGCCTGTAATCCCAGCAACCTGGGATTTCGGAGATGGGCGGATCACGAGGTCAGGAGTTTGAGACCAGCCTGGCCAATATGGTGAAACACCGCCTCTACTAAAAATATAAAAAATTAGCCGGGCACGGTAGTGTGCGCCTGTTGTCCCAGTTACTCGGGAGGCTGAGGCAGAAGAATCGCTTGAACCCTGGAGGCGGAGGTTGCAGTGAGCCAAGATCATGCCACTGCACTCCAGCCTGGGAGACAAAGCAAGACTCCATCTCAAAAAAAAAAAAAAAAAAAAACAGTGAGAAGAAAACAAAGCTTCAAAAATAATAAGAAAACTCAGGCTGGGTGTGGTGGCTCATGCCTGTAATCCTAGCACTTTGGGAGGCCGAGACAGGTGGATCACCTGAGGTCAGGAGTTCGAGACCAGCTTGACCAACATGGTGAAATCCTGTCTCTACTAAAAATACAAAATTAGCTGGGCGTGGTGGCGAATGCCTGTAATCCCAGCTACTTGGGAGGCTGAGGCAGGAGAATCACCTGAACCCGGGAGGTGGAGGTTGCAGTGAGCCAAGATTGTGCCATTGCACTCCATCCTGGGCAACAACAGAAAAACGCCTTCTCAAGAAAATAAATATATAAAATAATGATAATAATGAAGAAAAAAAAGAAGAAGATGGCGATGACGACGACGAAGATGAAGACTCTAATTTCCAGCCCCTACCTTCAAAAATAGATTTCAGTAGAGGAAAGAACAGAATAAACACTGATGAAAAACATAATAACTGAATTACAAGAGATTACTGACACGACATCTCCACGAATCCAAACCAAAAATGCCAACATATGTCACTAAGAGGGAAATTGTATATGAAATGAAAATAATTCCAGAAAACTCAATTTCTATAAATAGAAATCCTAAAAAGGAATGGAATTTGTAGAGATTATGAAAGAAACAATATAAGAACATTTCCTTAAATTTGATGGACTTGAGTCTTTACATTAAAGGGGATCATCAAATGCCAGGCAGAACTTTTCTTTAAAGACATCTCTGCTATACACAGACATGGTAAAATTTTTGAATTCCAATGGTAAAGACAAAATCATACAAACTTTCAGGAAAAATCAGATTGACAACAAAGGAAAGAAAATCAGACTTGACATTATTAGACTTCTCATCTGAATCTCTAAATGCCAAAAGACAAAATGCTATTCATCCAGAATGTAAAGGAGATTATGACCTTTAAGTTTAGAATTTCAAACTACATTTCACAAATAGCTCAGAACTTAGAAGTTTTTAGATACAAAAATTCTCAAAAAGTATATCACCTATGTACTTATACTTTTGAAAAATACTCAAGAAAATATTCTAACTTAAGAAAAAGAACTTACAAAAAAGTACTCAATAAAAGTAGAAAAAAAACAAAACAGGCCAGGCATGGTGGCTCACATCCGTAATGCCAGCACTTTGAGAGGCCGAGACAGGAGGACTGCTTGAACCCAGGAGTTCAAGACCAGCCTGGGCAACATAATGAGACCTAGTTTCTACACTAAATTAAAAAATTAGCCAGGTATGGTGGCACATGTCTTTACTCCCAGCTACTTGGGACGCTGAGGCAGAAGGATTGCTTGAGCCCAAGAGGTCGAGGCTGCAGTGAGCCGTGACTGCCCCACTGCACTCTGGTCTGCGCAACAGAGCAAGACCCTCTCTCAAAAAATAAATAAATAAGCCTGGGCAACATAGTGAGACCATGTCTCTCTCCCAAAAGAAAAAAAAATTTAGCTGGGCATGGTCCATACATCTGTGGTCCTAGCTACTTGGGAGGCTGAGCTGGAAGGATCACTTGAGCCCAGGAGTTTGAGACTGCAGTGAGCTATGATCACATCACTGCACTCCAGCCTGGGAGGCAGAGCGAGACTCTATCTCTAAAAAACCAACAAAAAAAAAACAGTAAGACAAAACAAAACTTTGTGTCACATATATTACAAACCCAAAAAACAGTCATAATATTTTTACCAATAGCCAGGCATAGTGAGTCACATTTGTAATCCCAGCTACTCAGGGGGCTGACGCTGGAGGAAGCCTTGAGCCCAGGAGTTTGAGGTTGCACTGAGCTATGATCACATCACTGTATTCCAACCTGGGCAAAAGAGCAAGACACTGTCTCTAAATAAATAAATAAAAATTTTAAAAATGTTTAAAACAGCTGCTTTGGACATCTGATTTATGACACAGATAAAAAATCCTAAATAAAGCATTAGCAAATTGAACCAGCTGTATATTAAAATAGTAACATGGTCAGGAATGGTAGCTCATGCCTGTAATCCCGGAGCTTTGGGAGGATTACTGACTTGAGGCTAGGAGTTTGAGACCAGCCTGGGCAACACAATGAGACCCCATCTCTAAATAAAAATTGAAATAAAATAAATAACACTACATAATCAAAAAGGTTTATTCTGGGACTAGGAATGGGTTAACATTAGGAAACTCATTATATTTACTAGAGTAAAAGGGGTAAAAAACAAAAAAAATCCTGTAGTAATTTTTGAAAGACTTCAAAAAAGAAAAAATGGTTAAAAAGTGAAGAAAAGTACTTGAAGTAGTCTTTATCAAGTAAAATAGCAAAAAAAAAAAAAAAAAGGAACCTGAGGTGCAATATCCACTCAACAAAAACTTGGTAAATTGTAAGGTACTTCCTAGCATAAATGCACATAATCACCAGAAATCATCAGCATATGCAATATGGTAAAACACTAGAGGTAAACTAACTCAAGATAAGCGAAAAAAGGACACCCATTCAACAGTCTTCACCATCTTTCAACACTGTTCCAGATGTTCTAGTATATGCATTAAGAAAAAAAGGTGTTAGGCCGGGCACGGTGGCTCATGCCTATAATCCCAGCACTTTGGGAGGCCTAGGTGGGCTGATCACTTGAGTCCAGGAGCTCAAGACCAGCCTGGCCAACATGGTGAAACCTAATCTCTATTAAAAAATACAAAAATTAGCCGGGCATGATGGCAGATGCCTATAATCCCAGCTACTCAGCAGGCTGAGGCAGGAGAATCGCTTGAACCCGGAAGGCAGAGGCTGCAGTGAGCCAAGATTATGCCACTTGAACTCCAGCCTAGTGACAGAGCGAGACTCCGTCTCAAAAAAAAAAAGGAAAAAGAAAAAAAGGTGTATGGGTTCCTTTACAGCCACTCAAGATAAACTGATTCTTCAGGAAAGTGAAATTAAGGCTCCGCTGCCCAGCCTGAATGACTGCATTGGCATGGTGGACAGCAGGGCAGAATCCACTGACAAGATTTCTAGATTGGATGCTGAGCTAGTGAAGTATAAGGACCAGATCAAGATGAGAGGGGGTCCTACAAAGAATATGATTACGCAGAAAGCCTTGCGAGTTTTAAAACAAAAGCGGATGTATGAGCAGCAGCAGGACAATCGCACCCAAGAGTCATTCAACATGAAACAAGTTAATTACACCATCCAGTCATTGAAGGATACCAAGACCACGGTTGATGCTATGAAACTGGGAGCAAAGGAAATGAAGGTAGACAAGCAAGTGAAAACTGACCAGATTGAGAATTTACAAGACCAGCTAGTGGACATGATGGAAGATGCAAATGAAATCCAAGAAGCACTGAGTCGCAGTTATGGCGGCCCAGAATTAGATGAAGACAACCTAGAAGCAGAGTTGGATACACTGGGTGATGAGCTTGTGGCTGACCAAGAGTTCTATTTAGATGAGCCAGCATCTGCACCTGCAATTCCAGAAGGTGTTCCCACTGTCACAAAAACAAGGATGGAGTTCTGGTGGATGAATTTGGATTGCCACAGATCCCTGCTTCATACATTTGCATTTAAGTACATCATGTAAAACATATTATGGGACTATGAAATACTGATCTTTCCAAATTTACCGTAACAGATACGTTTCTGTCCTTTCTTTGAAGGAAAGTTTAATTACATTGCTCTTCTATTTTTTTCCTTTGAGACTCATTGCTTGGGAAATGCTTTCTTTGTACTAAAACTTGATTCTGGCAGGGCGCGGTGGCTCACACCTGTAATCCCAGCACTTTGAAAGGCTGAGGCAGGCAGATCACAAGGTCAGAAGTTCGAGACCAGCCTGGCCAACATGGTGAAACCCCATCTCTACTAAAAATACAAAAAATTAGCCGGGTGTGGTGGCGGGCGCCTGTAGTCCTACTCTCGGGAGACTGAAGCAGGAGAATTGCTTGAACCCAGGAGGCGGAGGTCCAGTGAGCCAAGATCACCCCACAGCCTGGGCGACAGAGCAAGACTCTGTCTCAAAAAAAAAAAAAAAAATCACTACTGTATCAGAAGTGGGTATTTTGATTCTGTGGTTTCCTTAATACTACATCTTGAAATCAATAATGAATATTTCTTGATATTTGATGAATAGGACATTTATTTACTCAATTTTTTCAAAAGGAAAAAAAGGCATAAATTACAAACATATATTAAAAAGACGAGACAGGCCGGGCACAATAGCTCACGCCTGTAATCCCAGCACTTTAGGAGGCCGAGTTGGGCAGATCACCTGAGGTCAGGAGTTTGAGACCAGCCTGGCCAATATGATGAAACCCCATCTCTACTAAAAATACAAAAATCAGCCGGGCATGGTGGCATGCGCCTGTAATCTCAGCTACTTGGGAGGCTGAGACAGAAGAATCACTTGAACCTGGAAGGCAGAGGTTGCAATGAGCCAAGACAGCACCATTGCACTCCAGCCTAGGCAACGAGAGCAATACTCCATATCAAAAAAAAAAAAAAAGATGAGGCAAAAAAGAAAAAAATCCAGAACCTGCAGATTACATGCTTGCAAACTAGAAAATCTATCAACTAAAACAAATTGAAAATAATAAAAATGTAAGATCTACAAGAAGCAGTAAATTTCCTTCATACCAGCAATAATCATTCAGATGATGGCAGAGTACCACTCACAGTAAAAAGATATACAGGAAGAGACCATTCACAATAAAAAGATATACAGGAAGGGCCGGGCGTGGTGGCTCATGCTTGTAATCCTAGCACTTTGGGAGGCCGAGGCGGGCGGATCACGAGGTCAGGAGATGGAGACCATCCTGTCTAACACGGTGAAACCCCGTCTCTACTAAAAATACAAAAAAGTTAGCCAGGCGAGGTGGCGGGTGCCTGTAGTCCCAGCTACTCGGGAGGCTGAGGCAGGAGAATGGCGTGAACCCGGGAGGCGGAGTTTGCAGTGAATCGAGATCACGCCACTGCACTCCAGCCTGGGCGACAGAGCGAGACTCTGTCTCAAAAAAAAAAAAAAAAACACATATACAGGAAGAAAATGAAGAAGTATGCAAGACCCACATTAAATTAAAAACAAAACCAAAACACTATGAAACTACTAAGGCACAGAAGACCTGGATAATGAATAAATAGAGGATTAAAGAAATTACTTCTCCCCAAAAAATAATGCACACATCGAATGTAATTCAAGTCAAAATCCCAATTAGAGTTTATTACTGGAACTTGATTATAAAATCATCTAGAATCATTATTTAAAAAGGAATGGGAGGCCAGGCATGGTGGCTCACACCTGTAATCCCAACACTGGTTGGCCAAGGCAGGAAGACTGCTTGAACCCAGGAGTTTGAGAACAGCCTGGGCAACACAGAGCAACTCCATCTCTACAAAAGGTTTTAAAAAGTAGCCAGGTACAGTGGGGCACACCTGTAGTTCCAGCTACTCAGGAGGCTTCGGCAATAGGATCTCTTAAGCCCAGGGGTTTGACGTTGCAGTGAGCTATGATCATGCCACTGCACTCCAGCCTCAGTGACAGAGCACAAGACCCTGTTTCAAAACGAAACAAAATAACCCAGTGCTTTTCTCCAAGGAGATGGAATTACAGGAAGATTTCACTTTGGCTATGCTGTTTTTACCTTTTTTACAATGTACATATATTATCAAAACAAAGAAAGAAAAACTATGGGCCAGAGGCGGTGGCTCATGCCTGTAATCCCAGCACTTTGGGAGGCTGAGGCTGGTGGATCACCTGAGGTCAGGAATTCCAGACCAGCCTGGCCAAGATGGTGAAACTTCATCTCCACTAATAATACAAAAATTATCCGGTGTAGTGGTGCACATCTGTAATCCCAGCTACCCAGGAGGCTGAGGCAGGAGAACTGCTTGAACCTGGGAGGAGGAGGTTGCAGTGAGCCAAGATGGCACCATTGCACTCCAGCCTAGGGGACAAGAGTAAAACTCCGTCTCCAAAAAAGAAAAAAAGAAAAGAAAGAAAAAAATATGTTTCCATCCCAAAACTAAAAATTTGTAAACAATTATGTACAAGCAAAAATGTCTGAACAATGGCCTTTTAATTTCTTACTGATCCATGAAAATTATGCCTTAAATGACAAGAATGTTCACTCCTTTCATGCGAAAAATGCCTGCTTCCCCACTTACATTAGCTGGTTGCTCTGAACAGGAACATCTGTGTCTTCACTGAGTTCCAATCTATTACGCCTGTAGGTCGAACCAACACTCAATCCATGAATTAATAATAATGAGGCAGAAAAAAATTTCCTCCTCACATTGCCAAGAAAACCTCTCAGCCACAATTCAAACACAGCATGTGTTTTTAAAACATCTCCCAACTACTGGGAGATTAAGTCCATTCAAATAACCTTTGTCAGACTGGAGACAGCTAGGGTTAGTTATCTCCTCAAAAACAAAACAAAACAAAACAAAAAAAAAACAAAAAAAAAGAGTTCATTTAAAGATGAACTTGAGAGTTAAAGGATCATGAAAAAAAACTCCATCTTCCATAGCTGAACAATATAATTTAAAAAAAAAACAAAAAAACATCAGTTTTTCAGTAAGATCCAATTTCTGGTCTTCAAGATTTCTTCACCTATTAAGAAAAAAACAGAAACCTTCCCCCATCTTTATTATCTGTATAATAAAAGCATACTTGTATGTAAAAATATAGTGTTTTATGTATATAATATACATACAGATATATACTAACTGGCTTATACACACACACATATACACAAAAATGTATAGAAATATAACATTTGGATAAGTTTCCCCTTTTAAAATGCACTATAAAAGACTTTAGATTTGGGTTCATTATAAAAATAAAGAACTTACTCTTATACCAAAGTATCATGAAGTTATTGTTACACTAAATTTTGCCCAGCCCACAAAATAAAGACGAAGGTAAATCCTTACACATATATCATTATGTATAATATGGATGTATGTATATATATCCATCATCGTCATCAGGGAGTGTTTAACCAAAAAAGATAGAAACGTATGGTAATAGAGTAACTACAGAGTGGTGCAGCAAGCTGTAGAAGGCAGAGCAGCATTATAGCCATTCTAAACTGGCACTGTCAAAACACAGAAAGCTTTATCTAAGGGAAAATTTATTTCTTATTTTGTATCAACACCAGTATCACTGGTTTGCCATTAAATAGTGGCCCTGGAAAGGCTTGCTTACGCAGCCTAGGTCCAAATTCTTTACTACTAATGGCTACAGCTAAAGACTTTGTAAGTATACATTTACTCCAGTTAGTAAAAGGGTAAACTTTTGGAGTTGAGATTTCATTTCACAATGGCATATTTACCATTTAAGAATTTAAAAAAAAAAAAAATCAAAACCAAAAAAAACCCGATTTTGATACATAGAAATGAGTTCTAAACTTTGAAACCAGCCCAGTAACAAAGCAATTTTGATTCTTATGTAATAAATACTACATAATTTCTAGGCTAAATCTTGCCAAATACTATCCAAGACAAAACTAAAATCAAAACTTAAAAAAAAGTGGACACCTTTTACTCACACTTAATACTAGTCAATTTTCCAGGAATTTTTTGGGCAGGGAATATCCCCAAATCTAAAATGAAAAAAAGGAAAAATTGGGATCTCACATTAGTTATTCAGTCTGAAACTTTTAATAGACTTTTACTAAAAGTCATCATTTTCTGGCCTCCTACTCAATCTCAGAAACATACTTTCAGAGTAGAAAGGGATCTTAAAATGAGATCAATTCACTCATTTCACCAATGATTCCTAACACATAAAAATACCGACTGCTTAGTTTTCATTAAGAATTCAGTGGCCAAAACAACCGCACAGTTAATACAGTATAATGGGTCATTAAGTATGTTTTTAAAAAGATTACCTAAAATTACAGAAACAATCTTTGGGAAATGTCTACTGGGTTTTTCCAAGCATGTTCAAAGGGCTCTCATTACAATTCCCATTCAACCTTTTCCAATTCTTGCAAACATTTTAGTCTGTTTTTACCCATAAATTATTTGAAAGTACCTACACAATCTATTTTTATAATATTTTATAAAGGTTAAAACAGGCATTTCAAAGACTAAAAGTATATTTTCCTAATTGTTTTCTAATATTTCCCTTTTATATAAGATCCAATTCTAAAGGGTAACACTATCACACTCAACAATTTGAAATTATAAAGCTGACCAGTATGAGGAGGCAATTAGAAATTTCCAAATATAAAACAATTTCACGGGTTTTCTTTTTGCCAAGTTGTAATTAAGCATCAGGGTTTTTAAGGAAACAGAAAAACAGGGGCAGGAGGAATGCCAGCCAGTGTACTTTTTTCTCATTTCGTTGATTTCAGAGCAATAAAATTTCCCATGGTGGGGGAAGTTTTACTTAAAACCAATTACTAGTTCAATCTACCAGGAAGAAAGCCTAAGGCCTTTCAATGCTGCACTATATTTTTTTTAATTAAAAATATCTTCTCTCTCATTGGTATAAGCAAAATTTTCAAGTGCTAGCGCCACAGTTATAGCTATGAAATCTTTAATCTTCATTTTATCAAAATTATATTGCCTCTGAGGAATTTTCAGCCCTTGTGTGATTTCAGGTTTCCCCAGATGTGTTTATAAAGATAATGATTATATTTAACAACTACAGCTATTAAGATACAGTAACACAGCAAAAAGTTGCCCATTTTAAATGGAGAAAAAGAAATTAAGGCAGTATTTCTTTTTCACTGCTTTGAACAACTTCATTCTGCTCAGGATCCCAGCTCAGAACCAACGTAGAATAATCGTAGTTAACATTTTTCAAGTTCATTTTCAGAAACATCAGTTGTTCTATATTGTCAAAGTCCAGGCTCATGATCTGTTTTGGATGAAAGTGGCTATTTTTAGTAAAGATACATTCAGATTGCCAACTACACATGGGGCAACTTAGATACTGGATGGCAACCTGGGTCAAAGCCGGCCATATGCTTATCTTCCTCTGCCAGTAAATTAAAGGGTCATCACCTCCTGAGAACTCTGAATACTTCTCTTTGAAGTACTCATCCACAACTGCTACAGCAGAAGGGAACATGAAGCTTTTGCTTCCAAGGGCAACATTGTCTACAGCTGAGCTATCAACAGAACCTGAACTGGAGGTGCCTTCTTTTAGAGATGAGGTAAATGAATCAGCTCCCACTGTAACTGAGGGACAAGAAGCTTCTGAAGTTGGAATTTGGCAGATCTCTGGTGAAGATTCCATATAATTACAGACCTCTTCTGCAAGGAACTGCTTATAAGTTTCTAAATCAGCACCTTGAGGAAAAAAGTCTTCCAAACTGTTTTTAAAGCAAGGATCTAACAAAGTAGCCAAGATACAGGGCTTGGATTTAAGCATGGCACTTAGTAGGGTATCTGTTTCAAGTTTCAGAGATAAACTATCCACCAGATTGAGGGCCTGAGTAATACCTCTGACTTGAAAATCTTCTCTGAGTTTCTGCAGGGAAAGGAGTAGATGATGGATTAGGGGTAGCACCTGATTCAATCCTGCGGTCTTCACGCTCACTTTCTGGGTAGCCTCCTCAAATGGCTTAAGAATATCACAAACATAAGTCATTAGAGTCCACTGAAGGGAGGTGAGCACAACTCCACTGGCTCTACCAAGACTATGGTGAACTGAGTAGCAATGCTCCAAGAGCCATTTTAACATATAAAAAGTAGAAATCCAATGGCCAGTTTCGTCCTGCTTCAAATTCTTCCATGGAAGTTGGTGATCATTTTGGAACTCTTGCAGTATCTGACGGGCCTTGACCGAATGACTAAAATGATGACAAGTTTTCCTGGCAGCCACTAACATATTCTCAATGCTTTTGTGCTCGCAGAAAAAGTCCTGAATGACCATATTTAAACAATGCAGGAAGCATGGCACATGGGTAAAACCACCATCTTTGATTGCATGTACCACATTAGAGGAATTGTCAGAAACAATGAAGCTAGGGATAAGGAAATTTGGAGAAAGCCACAGACCAATCTGGTCATTTAATTCTTGTAAAATATTGGTTATCAAACAGTCTTTAGCCAAACCTGTAACACAAAGCACTGCCCACTTTCTAAAATCGGGGATCCTGCCATTATTGAGAAAAGACGCAGTTTCCAAAGAAACCCAGTGTACAGTCACAATAAAATAGTCAGTGGATGGGTCATGGGTCCATATGTCAACAGTCAGGTGTATCTTTTGGCTTTGAACATTCTCTAAAGTTAAGAAAATTTTTTCTCTGACACAATCATATAACTGAGGTACAGCCTTAGTGAAAAAGTAAGTCTCTGATGGCAACCTATAATCAGGGGCCACAATCTGCATGAACCTCTGAAAGGCTGGGGTTGAGAAATAGTTGTAAGGATGCATATCCTCCACAATCATTTGGATAATTGCCTGACTTATGTGACTTGAGACTGGATTTCCACAACATGTTGTTTCTCTCTCCTGCGCACGCATCAGAGTGCCTTGCTCTGCAACGGGAATAGGACTTTCAGATCTGTTTTCAACCTCTAACATAGGTTCATCTGAATCAGAGTCACTAAGGTCCTCAGCTGTTAAATCTTGGCTGCCTGTAGACTTTTCTCCATGCAAGGTATCACTCAAGAGATCACTTCTCTCAGTCTCAGCTTCATCTAATCCATTTGCAACAGCACCACTGTCTTTGTTGGCAACAGCCCAATGGATAGGATGTGTGGCTTGCAGGTGTCGTTGAAGTGTTGAAGTCCCTAAGTGGGACCCTGGCCTACCCCGGCTCACACTTCTTTTACATATATTACACACAGCTCTTGAGATGTGCTGAGGATCAGTGTAAAAAAAATTCCAAACGGCAGATGTCTTGGCTCTAGTTCCAGGAATTAAAGCATGCTTGACAATGTTACTTTTGATGAGAAATCTCCCTCTTTCTGCCCTTAGGGCATCAGATGCTGATTTATCATGCTTCTTGCCCATTCTATTATCATCTAATGGATCAGTAGGAATATATTCAAAGCTTCCATTGCTTCCAGAAGAGGGAGATAAAGACACATCCAAGGTAAAGTCCTCCTCTCCACTAGCAACTCCAAACTTGTTGGCCCTGGTCCAATGAGGTGAATGCCTTGCTTGCAGATGTCGTTGAAGAGTAGATGTACCAAGATGGCTACCTGGTTTACCCCTGCTGACGCTTTTCTCACAGAGGTTACAAATGGCCCGCCAGGTGTACTGGGGGTCAACATGAAAGAAGTGCCACACAATGGAGGTCTTGGCTCTAGTACTAGGTAGATAGATCTGTTTTTCTATATTGCTCTCAAAAAGACTTTCTTCATCCTGCTCAGGGTCATTGGAAGCTAACAAAGCAGGGGCATCTGCAACAGGCCTCCCAGATCCCAAATCCTTACTAAACTTTTTGGCAAGAATCAATTTTTTTCGACGCCTTTTCCCCTTAATTCGCAAACCCTTCTTTCTTTTCTTTTTAGCAGGCTGTTTTGCCTCTTTATTCACTCCTTCTGCTACCATCTTTTCCTCTACCACATCTTCTTCATCTGTATTAGAATTAATAGGAACACATCCCAGAATCCCAGAATCACTAAAAGTGTTGCATCTTCTGCCAGGAGAGAGTGAAGAAACTGGTACACTTAGAGTACATACACTCATTCTCTTTATGTCTCCACAATTCGTACCAGAATCTGTTAGTGGGTTTATTACTCAAGCAGAAATACAGCTGTTCCTCTCTACTTGCATTACCTTTTCTCCAGTTTCTATGGGGAATCAAATTCCCACTGGACCAATAACTTCCAAGCCAGGTTATTTTTGGAGGAAAACTGACAGCAATGGAGAACATTCCCGAACTCTTTCTTAGAGGGCTTTAAGGTCCCTTCCAATTTTCTAAGTTCTGAATTCAAATAGTCCAGTGTCCTCATGTTACAGAAGTAAGAACTGAGTCCCCCTTTCCCAGAGTCACAGAGTTGGTTAGTAGCAGCTAGAAGCCAGGTCTTCCAAATCCCAGATCCATGTTCTTCCTGCTTCATCAAGAACTATATCTACTTGAAATGCCTTCACCTTGTAAAATACATATTTTTATGATGCCTCATGATAGCGACATCAATTTCCCTTAATTCTGAAATTAACTATTTTCAGGAAATCTCATTTAAACAAAAACATAGTGCATCATTCAACATTCATCATTTAGGACTGTGATTTGCCAATACAACCCAAAAAGTCAATTCTGGAAAGCCAACACAGACTCCGCATACTGGTCACAGCAAATGCTAGTTGAGCCCTTTCAGTTCTAACTAAAAGTAATACAACCTTTTAAAATGTGAGTGGCTGGAAAAAAATGCTTTGAGAAAAAAATTTTAAAACAAGGTTAAATGCTGCATTTTCAAAGTACTGTTTGTATTAAGAGTTAATTCAAGTTTAGTTTTCAGATATTTTTAGACTTGAGAAGCTTTTACAGCCTGTAAGTAACTCACAAGTTGTACGCTATAGAGATAGCAAAAAGTGAAATATGAACTTTAAACCACTTCCATTTTTCGATTGATCCCTCCCCTTCCCCCAATACCTACATACATTTACCCTAAAAAGCATCGCTATCTCTAGTTCCACAGCCTCTTTCTCAAGGTCCAGAACCAAGGCCTGGAAGATGTCAACAATATAGGCCTTCCCCATAGGAATCCGCACCGATTATGGGAGTTTAGGGGTGTTCTTCATTACGGTTTCACCAGTCCTACAAGGAGAACGGAAGTGTCCCTGTTGCTCTTGACTCCGACGCTGAGGGCCAGGGGTGGGAGTGTAATGAGAGTGGGGAATGGGTGTAGGATACCGGAATAAGGTCGGTGGCTTTCTGTATGTGGAGTTTGAGACAAGCTCCAAAGTACCGGGACCCTGGAGAGGAATGAGAGTAGGTAAATTCAGCGCCCGGCACTCAGTCTGATTGATTTAGGCAGTGAGGGTCCGCTCAACTAGAGAAACTGTTGCCCCGAAGAAAGCAATCTAGTGTCAGTTCTCTCTTCGGGATTCGGGGGAACAGTCGGTTTTCGGGGCTGCTCCGGGCTCCTCGAGATTAGCGAACACCGGATGTGGGGGAGGGGAGGAAGGTTGGCTGGGAAAGGAGCAGGCGCCGTGGGGGTGGGGTGAACGGGGTGGGGGTGGGGAGGATGGGAAAAGTGAGCGGGAGCCTGGGGCTCCCAGCCAGCCCCGGCGAGGGCCGCGACCGGGAGGTGGGGGGGAGGGGTCGTTACGGCGAAGCTGAAGGATCCGCTCTGACTTCCCGGGATAGGCCGCGACCCAGGGGCGAGGGGAGGCCGCTGCCACTCCCCTCGCCCTCTCCCCCACCTCCCCGGCCCCAAGCCACCCGGGAATCAAAAAAACGGGTCTAGTTACCAGAGAACAGAAACTTTACCGAACCGATGACACTATCCCCGACTCCCGCTTGCTGCCACGTCTTTCTTCTTGCTTGGCCGCTGCCGTCCGTCGTCCTCCCAGCAGCAGCAGCACTAGCAGAAAACCAAGACTGCCAGCGTCAAAGATGGCGCCTGGCTACAGGCTCCGCTCTAAGGCCCGGCCGGTAAAAGTGCCAGCACGACGCAGGGCGCGAGGATTCTGGAAGATGTAGTTCCTCTATGAGGCGATGCCTAAGATGGCTGCTCCGGGTCACAGGGTCACGTGACGGGGGAGGCGCTGGGTCGGGGAGTCCCTTCCCTTCAGAGGAATGCCTCGAAGCCGGCTTTCATAACGTTTTGTTTTTGTTTTTAAATCAAATGAGGTAATAAGCGGGAGGGCCGCAGGAACTGAGACTGCCATTCAGTAAGCGCTCAATTTATTCTTACCAAAGTGTTTGCTTAATGAGTAAATCTCCCAAACCATGTATACATTTAATTTAGAAATAAACTGTACTTTTCCTAAGCATGCAATGTAGAATGATTTGTTAGTTTATTTTTTACTTGAAGAAGTGAGATTGGGCTTTGGGGGGGTGTTTCTTTGATTTCTTAAAGCAAATTTGTGTATTGGAAAAGTAATTCATGCTCGTGACAAAATTCAGGAGAGTTAGTTGGAGGTCGCAATCAGCAGTCTCATCCCTGCTTCATTATTAACATTGTCCCTTATTTTCCCTTTTGAATGTTTTTACTTTTTCCCCCGGTTATAAAAGTAATACACGTGGCCGGTGCGGTGGCTCACGACTGTAATTCCAGCACTTTGGGAGGCCTCGGCAGGCGGATCACAAGGTCAAGAGATCGAGACCATCCTGGTCAACATGGTGAAACCTCATCTTTACCAAAAATACAAAAATTAGCTAGGCGTGGTGGCACGCGCCTGTAGTCCCAACTACTCGAGAGGCTGAGGCAGGAGAATCGCTTGAATCTGGGAGGCAGAGGTTGCATTGAGCTGACATCGCACCACTGCACTCCAACCTGGCGACAGAGTAAGACTCCATCTCAAAAAAAAAAAAAAAAAAAAAAAGTAAAAAACTTAATACACGTAAGTTTTTTTAGAAACAATACAGAAATATAGAGAGTAGAAAGTTAAAATCTCTATTAATCTCATTCTTGAGAAATAGCTCTCATTAACTTACCATATATCCTTTCTGGCTTTTACACTGAAAATATACTTAAATATATTACACATATAATAGGAGCCCAAGGTCCCCCTGGGGTAGTGGCTCAGCAGAACTCTAATTAGGTGGCAACATTTTACCTAACTTGGGTAAAGGATATAGTTGTGCTACTAAGAAAGGAAACACTTGATGATAAAGCAGATGGGACTTCAGGCACCTTTTATTTCCTCGTGTGCTTGTTCTTCCAGCTGCCGGGTTGGTGATGTGCGAGTCCCAGGCAGCCCAAGACTAGGAATTTATCAGAGCAGAGGGGTCCTGAGCCTCCTCATATCTGGGCTTTTATCTCCTTTCAAAGTAAGAACCACAACTTTAGAATCTTAGCTCCAATCTCTGCCTTACGTGACAGTGCTCTGGCATTGCCATGTCAACAGACCTAATAAGCAAGTTCCTGGTAGCCAATTTCTTTTTTTCTTTCTTTTTCTTTTTCTTTTGTTTTGGTCTTCATTTTTTTGGTCTGTGTGACTCTTACTGGTAACCAATTTCTGTCTGTGCCACGACACCTAGGGTTTTTAAAATTTACCAGAGGGCTCTCCACATAGCTTAAGGGTTTTCCAACCTAGGACTCTCCAAGATGCAGTCCTGGCCTGACTAGTGTGCTATATAGAGTTTATAGTTATATTTCAGTAAACCTAAAGTATCATTGATTGTAAGATACACTTTTATTTTACAAGCCTCTAAGTGGAAGAAAAAAACCAACAACTGCCAATTAAACTGACAGGCCGGCCGGGCAGGGTGGCTCACACCTCTAATCCCAGCACTTTGGGAGGTTGTGGCGGGCGAACCACAAGGTCAGGAGTTCGAGACTAGCCTGGCCAACATGGTGAAATCCTGCCTCTACTAAAAATACAAAAATTAGCCCAGCACAGTGGCACGCATCTGTAATCCCAGCTACTTGGAGGCTGAGGCAAGAGAATTGCTTGATCCTGGGAGGTGGAGGTTGCAGTGAGCCAAGATCACGCCATTGCACTCCAGCCTAGGTGACAGGCTAGGAAAGGATGTACATCTTAGAATGAATGAAAATATGAACAGGCTAAAACTATACATACCGTTTTGCAATTTGCTTTTTTCACTTTACAATATATCTTGAATATCTTTTAATGGTCATCAGCACTTAGAGGCCTACCATATTCTTTTTTTTTTTTTTTTTTTTGAGACAGAGTTTCACTCTTGTTTCCCAAGCTGGAGTGCAATGGCACAATCTCGGCTCAATGCAACCTCCGCCTTCCGGGTTCAAGCTATTCTTCTGCCTCAGCCTCCTGAGTAGCTGGGATTACAGGAATGCACCACCACGCCAGGCTAATTTTGTATTTTTAGTAGAGACGGGGTTTCTCCATGTTGGCCAGGCTGGTCTGGAACTCCTAACCTCAGGTAATCTGCCCACGTCGGCCTACATTCTTTTTAATAGCTCCCATCCCGCTCTCTGTAAGCCTCTTTTTACAATTTATTTCACCAGTCCCTTATTGATGGAAACAATCATGTTTCATTTTCCATTAGTATCTCTCAAGGGGGGGAAAGAAAAAATAATAGGGTAATAAGGACATTGAAGAGGGCAAGCTGGGCAGGGGCTCACGCCTGTAATCCCAGCACTTTGGGAGGCCCAGGCCAGCAGATCACTAGAGGTCAGGAGGTGAAGACCAGCCTGGCCAACGTGGCGAAAGCCTGTCTCTACTAAAAATACAAAATTAGCCGGGTGTGGTGGCACCCGCCTGTAATCCCAGCTACTCAGGAGTCTGAGGCAGGGAAGCACCTGAACCCAGGAGGCAGAGTTTGCAGTGAGCCAAGATTGCACCACTGCACTCCAACCTGGGCAACAGAGAGAGAACCTGTCTCACAGAAAAAAAAAAAAAAAAAGGCAGGAGAAAAAGCCTAAGGCTGTTGCAGAGAGAGAAAACTAGTTGGGAAACCCTCTAAGAGTCAGGAGAGTGCACATGCCAACCTTCCCCACCCCCCCATATATACACACAGAATTCTCAGGGGTGGGGCTGGGCTTGCCCTTTGTATGTTATAAGTGGGGGTGAAGTATCTAAACCAAGGACACAATGCCAGATTCCCCCTATTCATACTGCCCTTCAAATTCTAAATGGATTTTAAACATATCTAGACCTCTTCAGTGAATGACAAAACCTTTTGGGACGTTCAGTGTGTTTTTGCTTTGAGAGCAAAAGTTTGGGGAAAAAATGCAAAATTATTGAGACAAAATTAGGTTCAAGAGAATCTTTATTTAGACTAGAAAAGGAAATCACAACAAATTACACATTAAAAAAAAAAAAAAAACTGTGGCTGGGCACAGTGCCTCATGCCAGTAATCCCAGCACTATGGGAGGCCCAGGCCAGTGGATCACTTGAGCCCAGGAATTCAAGACCAGCCTGGGCAACATGGTAAAACCCCATGTCTACTAAAAATACAAAAATTAGCTGGATGTTGTGGCGTGCACCTGTAATCCCAGCTATTTGGGAGGCTGAGGCAGCAGAATCCCTTGAACCCGGGAGGTGGAGATTACAGTGAGCTGAGATTGTGTACCACTGCACTTCAGCCTGGGCGACAGAGTGAGACTCAGTCAAAAAAAAAAAAAAGAAAGAAAAAAAAATATATATGTATGATTATTGTCAAATTTGGTACAGCTTCTATCAAGTTTCTTAGATATATATAAGCACTAAGACTTTATTGAATTATTTAATACCCTCTTGGCCAGGCAAGAGCTACCATTTTTACTAAATCTATTATTTATTGCTATGTAAAAAATCACCCAAAAATGTAGTGGCTTAAGGAACAAACATTTGTTATTTCACGTGTCTGTGGGTCAGGAATTCAGAAGCAGTTTGGCTGGATGGTTCTGACTCAGAGTCTCTAATGAGTTTGCAATCAAGTTGGCCAGGACTGCAGTCATCTGAAGGCTTGACTGGGGCTAGAAGATACATTTCCAAGTCAACTCATATAGCTGTTAACAGGAGATGAGACCTCAGTTTCTCACTCTGAGGGCCTCTCCGTAGGGCTGCTCAGGATATAGGCAACAAGCTTCTCCCAGAGTGAATGACGAGAGAAATAGTAAAGATAGACACTATAAGCTGCAATGCCTTTTATGACCTAGCCTTGGGCATTACATACCACCATTTCTTCTGTATTCTATTGATCACACAGATTAACACTGGCATTATGTGGGAGGGGACTAAGCAAGGGCATGGTAACAGGAGCCAGGGATCATTGGGGTCTTTCTTGGAGGCTTGCTACCATGCCAGCTGTTAGTGATAACTGACTCGTCCATTTAAAATTTTAGATATGGCCAGGCACAGCGACTCATGCCTGTAATCCCAGCACTTTGGGAGGCCGAGGCGGGCAGATCACCTGATCAGGAGTTCAAGGCCAGCCTGCCAAACATGGTGAAACCCCGTCTCTACTAAAAATACAAAAATTAGCCGGGCGTAGTGGCATGCGCCTGTAATCCCAGCTACCTAGGAGGCTGAGGCAGGAGAATCGCTGGAACCCGGGAGGCAGAGGTTGCAGTGAGCCAAGATCATGCCACTGCACTCCAGCCTGAGCAACAGAGCAAGACTCCATCTGAAAAAAAAAAATAAAAAAAAAATAAAATTTTAGATGTGTGGCCAGGTGCAGTGGCTCACACCTGTATTCCCAGCACTTTGGGAGGCCAAAGCAGGTGGATCACCTGAGATCAGGAGTTCAAGACCAGCCTGGCCAACATGGTGAAACCCCCTCTCTACTAAAAATACAAAAATCAGCCAGGTGTGGTGGCATGCATCTGTAGTCCCAGCTACTTGGGAGGCTGAGGCAGGAGAATCACTCGAACCCAGGAGGCAGAGGTTGCTTGAACCCAGGAGGCAGAGGTTGCGGTAAGCCCAAGTTGCGCCACTGCACTGCAGCCTGGGCGACAGAGCGAGACTCCATCTCAAAAAAAAAAAA